>NC_000001.11:232396242-232547757 GCF_000001405.40 Homo sapiens | reverse complement strand
GCTAATCACTTATCAATAGGAATTTTTTCGTTAAACACTGTAGAGGCCTCCGAAAGTCTTTGAATAACGTAGGATTTGGATGATGGCAATGCTGGTGTTCTTCCCTAGATTGGTAATTTTCAAACTTTTTACTTTTTCTCACTCTTATCTGCCCCACCCTGCCCCCCCCAGCCCCCACCCAGCCCCCACCCCGGGCCACAGTGATCATTAGGGCACATTTTGATTACTGTGAAAACGATGGCTCTGGAAACACGCTTGAATAGAATGAAACCTGTGATTCTGCCCCTGTGATTCTCCATTTGCTTGAATAGAATGAAACCTGTGATTCTGCCCCTAGGGCTTCCCTGATTGTTACACCGAGACCACCTTACCCGGAAAGGATGATTTCATCTTGTGAGGGTTGCGTTCCCATATCCCAGGGTCACTCAGACATGATTTGGGGAAAGACCCGTATATACCAGTCTCCTGTCTGTTACTTATCCCAGCTGTGTGTTCTGCATAAAAAATGCTGGATTTGTTTTGTCATGGGGTAGGGGGCAAGAGTTAGTTTTATGTATTATTTATTTATAATTCTATTTATTTGGAGAGATATATTCATACTGTCTAAAGCATAGCCAGTGAAAAGTTTTCTCCCACCCTCTGCCCACCATCCACTTCCTTATGGTATTACTAGTATTAGCAGTTCATTTGTATTACTAGTTTCTTGTGTATCCTTTCAGAGATTTCTTTTGCATAGTCAGGCAGGTACTAATTTACATTCTACAATTTCCCAGTGCTCTGTCATGCTTTAATTTTGCCAGCCGCTCCTTCTACCTGGAATGCCTTTGCCTCTTCTCTCCACCTGGCAGACCTCCTCCTCATTTGAGGATCTGAGTATTCGTTTCTTCTGAGAAACCGTCCTGATCAGCCCCATCCTGACAGGTGGCTGTTTTCTTCTTGATGCCTTCATAGTGCTGTGCGGTTATCTCTTTCACTATATCGCTGTCAACATGTCTTAATGCATGTCTCTTCCCTTTACCAGACTTGTTTTTAGGAACTGAGCTGTTGTATTCCAGAATGCCGACTGTCCTACACAGTTCCTGAAACAGCCTAGACATTTAGTCGATGGACGGAATGAACTGTGTTCATTAGTGCACTACTTTGTGTGTTTTTGTTGGGACTGTGTTCAGTTTGCCACGCAGAGTAGGTTAGAGCGTGTCTGTGATCACCCTAAGCATCTCCTCAGAGTCAAGTGCCATGTTGTCTGATACCCTGTATGCCATCATTTAGTGCCATTGGTTGCCCGGCTGGGCAGTCTTCCTGTTAAATCTTTTACTAGACAGAATGGGAGGTTCGTAAAGTGTATTGACTCTTACTAAAGAGGAGTGGGCCATAAATCCCTTCTGTGAAAGTAGATGAAAAATGGTAAGTCAATAAAGGTGAAGTCTTGGCGTCATGGTGGCCTTTTAGGGTTTTCTTTCCTCTCTCTTATGGAGGCTAGTAGAAAAATCCTTTATCTAGAGAAGAGAAGAAGGTGAAGGGACGTCTTTACGTGCAAAAGTACGGTTATGCTGTGTAACTGGCTGGCTGCCTAGGAAATGCAGAGTGCACTTTTCTTGTCTTCAGTCTATTACAATTTATCTATCCAAATCACTCTAGCTTTCTTTAGCCTGAAGATTTAGACAGGACTCCAGGTGTACTAGAAGATTAAAATGATGCTTTTCTGTGATCTGCACATTCCTAACACAATGTAATGACAACATGGTTGCTGATTGTGCCTACGTCAGTGACACCAGAAAGAGAAGGGAAGAAAGAAACTTCTTGGTCTGTACATAATTTACATTCTGTTTAGCAATTCTGCATAAGATCTGCATCTATATGTTTAACTCTTAAAGGAAGCTATAACTTATTTAAAGAAGTAATATAGATTTTTATTTGTTGACAGGGAAAGTTATTAATACATTAATTGAAAAATATTATAGAACATTATCGCATATATACTATTATGTAATTCTATTACTGCTAAATTACAAACATTAAGAGAATTATATGCGAATTAGAAAACTAGAAGGCTGTGTATATCAAACGGTTAATAATGGTTGAGAAAAGTGTTTTCCTTCTCTAGACTGTTTGAATTTTTAAAAAACAATTATGTTTATCAGAGTAAAAAGCTATGAATTTTTCAGCTTGTTAGTAGGAAAAACAGCCCAAGAACAAGAGGTTAGAAGAAATAGACAAAACTTGTAGCTTCTGTAAGGGTGGTAGTATTACGTGTGATTACATATTTATTCTTCAGTCCTATAGTTTTGTAATGTAAGTAGATTACTTTCATAATTAAAAACAAACCAAGCCAACCATGGTTCTTCTAGAGCACTTAGGCGCCCACACGGAGCCTCATAGATACATGAGTCAAGTGCTTGAATTCAAAGTTTTAAGCCAGATATGAAAAACAAGTAATGTGTATAATAGAAAGTTAGAAATCATATAGTCAGTAAGTGTAGCTTGTTTGTGGCCAGGTTTAAGTCCATGTGAAGGCTGTGCTTTTTCCGTGCTATGCTACAGGGAACCTTGTAGAAGAGTTTACGCTTACGGCATTGCTGAGTAGTCTGGTAAAAATTAAGGCATTAAAGTTGCTATCAGATTTTTTTAATTTTAAAAAATATTCTTACAAATTGAAATATCTTATTTTAGTATGAGGTTGGCTCCTCTGGTACTTCTGTAACCATCCACCGCTTTGCCTGGTTTTTTCCTCAGGAAGAAAAGGCATGAAAATGAGCAGACAGTTGTGTCACTGGGCCTGTCCCGTTTACAGGTGTATAATTCCTGTTAACGCCTTTAAAAAGAATTCATATGCTGGATTCAGAGTGTGGTAGTCTTTGTGCCCATATACAGTGACCCCCTGCTTTAGAGAAGAGGGGATCTGCTTTCGGAGCTTTTTTGATTGTGATATAACAATGATAAAGTTTTAGGCACCTGGTGCTTATCTGTCTTTTTGTGCAAGAAGACTTGGCTGTGTTGTGCGTTAGGTATCTTTTATTTGCTAGTAAAATAGGTGGCTGCAGGGCAGGGATGTTCCAAGCAACCTTCGTATTATTTTCTTCCCTTCTGCCAGCACATTTCTTAATCACTTTGACCAAGCCTCTGTCAAATATGTTAGAGCAGATGCTCTTTTTGAGAGATAAAGATCATTCTTGGCATTCAAGCACTTTTTTTTTTTTGAGACAGGAGTCTCGCTCTGTCGCCCAGGCTGGAGTGCAGTGGCGTAATCTCGGCTCACTGCAAGCTGTGCCTTCCGGGTTCACGCCATTCTCCTGCCTCAGCCTCCCAAGTAGCTGGGACTACAGGCGCCTGCCACCACGCCTGGCTAATTTTTTGTATTTTTAGTAGAGGTGGGTTTCACCATGTTAGCCAGGATAGTCTCCATCTCCTGACCTTGTGATCCACCCGACTTGGTCTCCCAAAGTTCTGGGATTACAGGCATGAGCCATTGCGCCCGGCCGCTAGCACTTTTGTATTAGAAAGTCATTATAGCCATTAAATCGTGTAAAACATTGCCTATGTCCCAAGACGTCTCAGAATGTGGGAGTAGTTCCATGCTTATTCCATGCATTTCAATGCTTATTCCGTGAATAAGAGGATAAAAAAAAAAAAGAAGGTTTCTGTTGGGGGGTACATAAATACATGCACATGTTTTTGTGTATACCTATGCCCATATTTAAAACATTTGCTGTGAAAATATTAACCGTAATTTTAGAAATTCCAGTCTTTCTGAAGTACAGTTGACTTGAACAATGTGAGAGTTAGGGGCACCAACCCCCTCCCTCCAAAATTTACTAATGGCTTACTGTTGTTTGGAAGCATCCTTAATAATATAAACAATTAACATTTTATATTTTATATGTTTTGTTTTTGAGATAGAGTGGAGCTCTGTCACCCAGTCTGGAGTGCAGTGGTGTAATCATAGCTCCCGGTAGCCTCAAACTCCTGGGCTCACTGATCCTTTCACCTCAGCCTCCCAAGTAGCTAGGACTGCAGGTATGCGCCACCACTCCTGGCCAATTTTTAAAACTTTTTGTAAAGGTAGGGCCTGCTGTGTTGCCTAGGCTGGGCTTCAACTCCTGGCCTCAGGCTGTCCTCCCTCCTCAGCCTCGCAAAGCCTTGAGATTATAGGCAGCTTGAGCCACTGCACCTGGCCCATTGTATGCATTAGATACTATAGTCTTGCATTACAGTAAGCTAGAGAAAAGAAAATGTAAAAACGTATTTACTGTTCATTCAGTGGAAGTGGATCCTATAAAGAAAGGTCTTCACATCGAGTAGGCAGAAGAGGAAGAGAAAGGGGTGACAGAGGTGGAAAAGGTGGAGGAGGTGGAAGGGGCCAGGAGAGGCAGGCACACGCAGTGTAACTTACTGAAAAAAATATGTGTATAAGTGGACCCATGCAGTGCAAACCCGTGTTCAAGGGCCAGCTGTATTGATTCATTTGAATCATGACAAAAAGTGTTTTGGTAAATTATGCAAATTAATGTTTGTATATGATACATTTCGATTACTAGTTAGATAGACCTAGGTGAAAGTACAGTAAGGATAGTAGCAAGGCTTTGCTCTGTGCGTCTCTTCATTCGATTTACATAGCAGCATAGTCACAGGCTGTCCTGTGGAAGACAGTGACTGGTTGTGTTAGATACACTGTACAATGAGAGACCCTTCTAGTACAGATTAAGCCTCATGAAGGCGCACAAATTTATAAAATTTACTTAAAATAGCTCTTGGGGATTCTTGGAAAACTTAGCTGTTTTTCTGAATCTGAGGGAATTAGTAGGTGGCAAAGCCTGATTTTTGTCATGTGCAAATACCAGTGTGTACAAACAAAGCATGTTCCATTCATAGCCTTAGGCTATTTGCAGACACACAGAGAGGAGTATATATGAGCGAAAGGAATGTGCAGTTCCTCACAGGGCTCAGCTGGGCCTTGGAGACAAAGTGGGAAGACCCAGACTACCAGAATTACATGAGATCGCGTAACTGCAAATACCTTGCCAGTGCCTAGTGCATAGCCAGCCTGAGGTAAGCGCATTTTCTTTTTCCTTCACTCTGTGGGGTTTGGCCTCAGTTCCTTTAACTTAGCCCCTGGCGTCTTGGAGAGTGGGAAGTACAGTTGTTTGGGGTCAGGTTTGGAGGGCCCTGATTGCTAGGGTGGGAAATTTGCTTTTTATTTTGTGGCAGAGGGAAAGTGAAGATTTTTGCAGGTTTTGAAAGACTGGACATGAACAGATACATGTTTATGAAGGTTATTCTGGTACCCTGTCTTAAGACTAGAGTAGATGCATTTTAGAACTTTATGATAAATACCCACTGTCTATGAGAGTGCACTTTGCATACAGTAAATGCATCTTATTTGAGCTACTGGAAGTGAGTAATTTCTGATAGATGAAATGCCCACATCTTTAAGCATGGCATAGATGGCATAGATGCAGGCGATTGTGCCCCATCACCTCAGTATCTCTATGTTGAGTATCCTGGAAATAATTGTATTGAGGATTAACTAAATTAATAATTATTTAAAATGATCATTTTTCAGACAGAAGAGAAATTAGTATATATCGCGAAGCGACTTTCCCAGGGTTACATAAGTAGATGGTAGCAGTCCAGTGCTATTTGTCTGTATCATACTGATAACTTTAAATCATTACATCATTCACTACAAATGCTGAATATTCAGAGATACTTTTATGTATCAGATGTAATCTTGTACAAAAACAGGAATAAAAATACTGTTTGTCTTCTGTTAAGGGTTTAGATAGGTATTTTTAAAACTATACAGAGAGAGAGAGAGAGAGAGATTTAAGGCTCAGCCCAAGATTTAACATTCTTTCCCTGCCCCAGTTCCCCTTCATGAATTACTTTTTTTTTTTTTTTTTTTTAAATCTGTAGGATCAAGCCAGTCCTTGCCACCTAGATTGTAGAAATGTGCTCTACTCTTGTGAAGAATGCTCCTGGAGAGGGCTTATTTGAGAGGGTGTACTGAAAACTGGGCTTCTGAAGGTCTTAATATGTTCTTCTTTCATTCTTTCTTTCTTTTTGTTAAATATCAGTAAAAAGCATCAAATGAGCGGATAAAGTTGATGGGGAAGTCTAAGTTTAAAACACTTTTAATGTACAAGAACCAAAATATCGACTTACTGTCTTAACTAAGAGATGCAGATATTGACAAGAAAAGAATTTAGGACTTGTTCAGCATCAGTGAACCTGGAGTTTTTGGGGAAAAATAAATTATCTATCTGGTTCATCAAAGAAAGCCTTACTTGCACTTGGGCCTTAGAGTTCAGGAAACCCGTAGAACCTACTGTTAAAGGTTTTATGTCTTCTTTATTTTCAAATGGTGTTTTGTTAAATATACCTAGTAGACTATCTGAGCTATTTTCTTGTTGAAAATAATAAATTATTAATAAATGGCAAGCCCAGAAGATATATTCTGTTATGTTATGTTATGTTATGTTATGTTATGTTATGTTATGTTATGTTATGTTAATGTTATGTTATGTGATGTGATACATGTGCAGGTGTGTTACATAGGTAAACGTGTGCCATAGTGGTTTGCTGCACCTATCAACCCATCACCTAGGTTTTAAGCCCGGTGTGCATTAGCCGTTTATTCTGATACTCTCCCTTCCCCTGCCCCTCTCATTGGCCCCAGTGTGTGTTGTTCCTCTCCCTGTGTCCATGTGTTCTCATTGTTTGGCTCCCACTTATAAGTGAGAACATGTGGTGTTTGGTTTTCTGTTCTTGTGTTAGTTTGCTGAGGATAATGGCTTCCAGCTCCATCCATGTCCCTGCAAAAGACATGATCTTCTTCCTTATTATGATAGATATATTCCTAAAGACTTGATATAACAAACAACACACAGTGAGTGTTCTGTAAGTTAATAGCAAGGTGCCTGATGAAGGCATTGACTATTGCTTATAATGATAGTGATAATTCTGGTCAAATTTTAAATTTTATCACCGTATTTCACCAACTAGATCCGTATTCTTTCCTTTCTCTCTCTCTCTTGCATTTGCCTGATTTCTTTCTCCGTAGGCTCAGTTTTCTTCTTGCATGTTTCTGTTTTTTCCCCAGTTGCTTGCCCTTCTCCCTTTCCTTCCATTCTATCTTTCTGCCGTCCTCTCCTCTAACACTTATGGAAATTGCCAGAGATACCCCTGGTTGGCCTTTGCTCTCTTATTTTCCTGACTCACTTGAGTGCCCTCTGACTGTGAAGACTGTGAATTCCTTCCCTCATTCAGAGGGGATGGGCAATGGAGGCAACGGGTGTTGGAGAATCGAAACCAATGAAGGTTTGCAAAGAGGCTGTCATGGCAGAGGCTGGCTCAGTGAAATGAATACTCCAGTTTGAAGGTGCCACTTCATTGCCATCTTGCTTTCAGTGTTGGTGCTTTCTAGTTGAAGTTTTTTTGTTGTTGCTGTTGTTTTGAGATGGAGTTTCATTCTTGTCTCCCAGGCTGGAGTGCAGTGGCGTGACCTCGGCCCACTGCAACGTCCACCTCCCGGGTTCAAGTGATTCTCCTGCCTCAGCCTCTCGAGTAGCTGGGATTACAGGTGCCCACCACCACGCCCGGCTAAATTTTGTATTTTAAGTAGAGATGAGGTTTCACCATGTTGGCCAGGCTGGTTTCGAACTCCTGACCTCTTATGATCCACCCACCTCGGCCTCCCAAAATGCTGGGATTACAGGTGTGAGCCACCGTGCCCGGCCTTTATTTGAAGTTTTAACTTGCTGGGAGCTGGACACTATTTTACACGCTATACAGGCATTCGCATTGGGCACCATGCAGCTTTCTCCATACTGCAGGAACAAGTTAGACACAGACCTTTCATTTTTGTTTTGACCTTGTAGTCCACACAGAAGAAAAAATGCGTAATGAAAACTGGTAGAATGAAGCTCAGAGGAGCCAGATCTAGATTGACAGGTCACTGGGGGGCTCTCTGAAGTAAGAGGGCTGTCGTCAGACTCGTGGTAGAAAGAGGCTGGCCACAGGGTGCAGCTGGGATCCCAACTCTAGCTGGTTCTGGAGGGTGGGCCTGGGGGAATGGGGAGAGCACAGAATGAGAGAAGAGCTGCTCTCCAGGTCAGTTGTGTTTGCTCTTCTTGTACAACCTGCGTGAGATCCTCTCCTTTAAAACCTCAGTCTTCATGCATATTGGCCTGGTGATGCTCTGTACCAAATTTCTGAGGTAGTGGGCCCAGATCTACTCGGGGGAGTGCAGAATTGAAGGCAAAGATGCAGAAGGGGAAATCTCTTATTATGTCTTCTCCCGTCCTTGAAGATGTTCAGGTCATTTTCAGGGTTGTTTGACTTTTAGGAAACTACTTAATTTCTCTTGACCAAATGAAGTTTAAGTGATTTTGAGTGTTCTCGTTTGACCTTTGAGTGACAGACCCTTAGACTTTTTGCAGTTGTAAGTAGTAGGAAGGACTCAGATTGTTTCGCACCTCTCAAGGCCTTGCCTAAGGTGTCCACTAGTTACCAAGAAGCCCTAGATAAGACCCTACCCCAAGGGTTTCAACTGGCATCAGGTTAGACAGAGGAGTTGAGCTGCTTCACCTGCAGCGGTTTGTGTAGTTAGCCTGGTAGAAGGCTGGAGATTGTGAACCGAAGATGATGAATAAACAGATTTGCTGTTTGCTTGACGAGGAGACTCTGAGGAGAGGATTTTCATTCTGTGTTGCCACAAACAGAGCATGTGACTGCTACTTCCCCCAGCAATCAAAACAGGATTAAGAGGAGTAGAAAATAAGGTAGATAAAACTTGCATCTTGGGAATATTCGTCAGCTGTCTGAATAGGTAACAAAAATAGAAAAAAGAACATGATATTCTATATACGCTTGCAGGTTTAGATGCTGAGGTCAAATTTTGTCTTTGTCATTAGTGGTGAGTCAGCTCACCCACCCACTGTCACATTCTTGATGGTTGGGAAATTTTGAGCTCTCTACTCAAATTGTACCTTCATGTGATCATCAAATTATTGAAAGTTTTTCTTCTCAGTTATGTGTGTATACAAGCACATGTGTGTATAGTGGGGGAGGGGGGGTCACAAAACACTAAGCCTGGGGGACTTTAAGATTATATGAAGTAGGAATTAGCATAGAGATGGCAGCATTCTCTGTACCACTTCTCTTTGGATAATTTGAAACCAGTAATTTTACATAGGCCATTTGAGTGCCAGTGGTGAAAAGGTTTTAATGGAAAGTGGTGTTGGGGGACTCTGTGGAAAGGGAGCTGGTGCCATACAGAGTGAGTGCCTTCATGTGGAACGATGCTTTGAAAGGATCAGATATTGCGGAGGCACCAGGCATTCTTTCCCTCTGAGTCATTCTGGAGGTATAACCCCTGCTGAGGGCCAGTTACTGTTCTCTGTGTTGGAGAAGAGAAGTGGGTGTTTGTAGGGTTAGGAGACCTTCCTCATCTGCCCCATACCCCCTCTTCTCTTGTCTGACATGCCTGAGTGATTCTGGTGCATGCCCTCAACAGCCCCATGGCCTGCTGAGCTAGGTGTCAGCAGAAGATCCCCATCCTGGCCCCATCCTGGCCTGACCGTGATCCCACCTGTGCCAAAATGGAGATATTTCAGCTTTATTCTGCTGCCTTTGAAATTACTGAGACTTTTTGTTGTTTCTGTGTAACCAATGTTAATGAGGATTTGAACCTAGCATTTCCTCACTGATGGGGTAAGAACTTGCCTGGGAGATTGTCACAGATAACTTAAATAAATGATGTTTATTACAAAAAGGGTTACACTTAGGTTATTTTTGTCATTTAGGAAGTCTGTAATCAGTGAATGAAAAATGGACAAGCTTAAATATCATAGTTAGAGGTAGAAAGGTTATATGTAGATAGTTTAAGGATCATGAATGAACAATAATAACTGTGGAACACATTTGCGTATGGGAGGCACTATTCTAAGCCTTACCTGCCTCAGCTCATTTAATCCCCACAGCAGTCCTGTGAGTTAGGTCCTATTAATTCTCCATTTTACAGATGAGAGAATCGAGGCTCACAAAGGTTAGCTAACTTGCATGTCTACACATGGTCTAGTAAGTAGAGCTGTGGTTCTGACCTTGGCGTCTGACTCCACAGCCCATCTGTGCTACTAGCCATTATTACACCATTGCTCCTGCTAAACAAGGGTGACGGACACAAAACCAAAGCTTCAGGGATTTTTAAATTAAGAAAATTTATCATTTTCCTATTTTGTGAAGTATTCCTTGTTGCTTCATTTTTTTTTTATCTTTTGAATTTTAGTATATTTTTAATGTGGGCACTATAAAGCGATGTATTGCTACTATTGTTCTTCTTAAGCAACTCTGATGTTTTGCTGTTATACTATTGGTTTAGTTGCATACTTATGTACATAGGAATATTTCTTAATTTTATTGATCAGAATTTCTTGTTCCAAGAAGTAGGACATTCTGTATTTACAAATTGCTTGGTCCCACCAAATTAATACATAATGTAATTATTATTATTTATTTATTTTTGAGACAGGGTCTCACGTTGTCACCCAGGCTGGAGTGCAGTGGCACAATCACAGTTCACTGTAGCCTCAACCTCCCAGGTCTCAGGTGATCCTCCCACCTCAGCCTCCCAAGTAACTGAGACTACAGATGCAAACCACCACACCTGGCTAATTTTTCTATTTCTTGTACAAACAGGGTTTCACCATGTTGCCTAGGCTGGTCTCGAATTCCTGAGCTTCAGCGATCCACCTGCTGTGGCCTCCCAAAGTGCTAAGATTATAGACGTGAGCCACCGTGCTTGGCCCATAATGTAATTACGACATGATGTGGTATAGAAAAGAATAGTTCCAAATTAAAGCACATTCTTTGAGATAAAACATCTTCAGCCATAAGACATCCCAAATATTTGGACACAAGAGAAATTGGTTTTTGACTCTTTATCACCTCAACTACTCCTCCTGTCAGTCGTCTTATTTTTTTTTAGGCAGAAGAACTTTTTATTTATTACTTATATAGTGAAATCATCCATAGCAATATTGCAGTTACAAGAGAAAAAGAAGGAGCTTATTAGACTTAGAACTTCTGTCGTTTTGTTTGTTTGTTTTATTTTTCATTTTTGGAGAACTCTTTTTCACCAGTCCGTTGACAGATTTTTAATGATGGTGTAGGCTGGCTTTCATTTCAGCCTAAAGGCTTCTTTATTTGGTGGGCTGATTTCTCTCAGTCCCTGGGCTTTGCATCACTGGTGTCACATACCATCTGAAACAGGGTGAGAAGAAAGTAGTTCCTCATAAGCAATGATTCAAGAGGCCAGGAGAGTGGTTGGTTGGGACCCTTACGGCTAGAATATAGTTTTGAGCATCTCTGAATTCCCAGGCCTTAAGTTAGATTCCCTCCAGTTTTCCTTAAAGGTGTTTTGCCTGTGAAAACCATCTACATACACCAGACATTGGTAAGAATATTCTGCTTCATGGTTACTGAGATGAGGCTGCATTGCCAAAAGAGAGTGAAGGATTTCGGGAGAGAGGCGAGAGATGCCTCAGGCCCAAGCTGGAATGGGATAACCTGACTTTTAGATAACATAGACTTGTTTTCGCCCTTTCCCAGCTCCTGCGCTCTCAGATCTGTCGTGCTTCCTTGGTCTCCTTGTCTCTGACCTAGCAGCCAAATCTCTTCTCACCAGATTCCTTGGCAGGTCCTCAGTATGCCTTCCCAGGCAGTGTGTGCCCTTTGCTCTGTCAACCACTGGAATCCAAGTTTCAGAGAATTCTCACCTGTTTTAGCTACAGAACATATCCCTAAGGAGAAAGTCACTTGAGACTCTAACATTTCTAACTTTGATGGAACATTAAATCTCTTTTATGAGCAGTCTGCCTCACTTATATTTCTGTTTTAATATGTAAAAAATCAGTAGGCCTAATAAAAATGACTAATGCCAATTTTTTGTTGCTTTTCAACATTCATAATACATACCTCACAAAGTAACTTGTTAAAAGACATCAATGATAGAGTACAGAATTCCTTACTGTGAGGCACGGTGCATTTGATGTGAACTGAATGTCTGGCATTCAGTTGCATTTGGACATAGGCTCATGGTATATATTCATATTCAAGTTAAATGTAATTTCTTTAGATGTGTAGCAATTAATATTAATAATGACTTGGCAGATTATTCTTTTAGAACCTGGGATAGCATTTGTAACTGAAAACTTTTCTAGAGAATTTTACTTTTCTTTTTGCTTAATTTCTAGACATTTGGCTTGAGAAAACTGCGATTTTGGTTTTGTAGTGAAACCATTTTGCCAATGAAGAACATTAAAATTCCGGCTTCTGTTTGTGTCATATTTCAGACTAAAGACATTTTACAATCAAACCAGGAACATGTGAAAATAGAGATTTATAATGGAAATGTTGATTCAATTTGAGCTGAAGCCAGACATTCATGAAGGAAAATTAGATTAAACAGTAGATGTTTAGAGAGACTTTAAATTATGACAGCTTTAAAAAAAAACATATGTTGTGGATGTTTCTTAGGCATACGCGTACTTTCTCTGGCAGACTGGGAACCTAGCTCCTTGATGTTTCAGCCGTTTATTAAATTCCCTTTTATCTTTCTTTGGACTAGTGGACTCAGAACTTACACAGCTTAGAGTCTGGTGATTGGGAATTGTATCTTGTACATTACTGTAGGATCAAAACCTGATGTTGTCAGTGGAAGTAATTCTGTCCTGTCATAGCGTATTACATTTATGAGTAGAAATTGCCATTTTAGATTGTGAGTATAAAGCTACCAGTTACAACTGATTTATTCCATTTGTCAAAGCCTAACAGATACTCCATGCAAATAATTTATTTTCATATACTGTTCAGATAGCGAGGGAAGTGCTTGAAATTGTGAAGAACTGGGATCTGTGTCAGGGGAGCAGTGTTAACGGGAGGATTCATGAGGCTGGATGTAGATGCTGGAATGATGAGTCTCCCCAGAGGTCCAGCACCAAAGGACTCACCCTTGCTAGAGTCAGCAAGACCCCGCCATGGTGGTGATATCCCAGCCTCAGGCAGGCATTTGGGGCCAGTGGGACACAGTGTGCTGCTGACACTCCTGCTTATCAGATACATGGTTTACAAATATGTTCTCCCATTCCATGGGCTGCCTTTTCACTTTGTTTGGTTGATAGTGTCCGTTGATGCACAAAAGTTTTCAGTGTTGATGAAGGGCACTTCATTAATTTTTGTTGTTGTTGCCTGTACTTTTAGTGTCATATTCAAGCAATCATTGCCAAATCTATATGGTGAAGCGTTCTTCCAGTGTTTTCTTCTATGAGTTTTATAGTTTTAGTAATTATGCTTAGGCCTTTGATCCATTTTTAGTTAATTTTTGTATATGCCGTTAGCTGAAGGTCCAACATCATGCTTTTGTATATAGATAGCCAGTTTTCCCAGCACCATTTGTTGAAAAGACTGTCCTTTCCCCATTGAATGGTTTGGCACCCTTGCTGAAAATCATTTGACAATACATGTGAGGGCTTACTTCTGGGATCTCTCTTCTATTCCATTGGTCTTTATGTTTGTCTTCATGTTGATGCCACAGTGTTTTGATTACTGTAGATTTGTAATAAGTTTTATATTCAGAAAATGTGAGACTTCCAGCTCTATTCTTTTTTTTCAAGATTGTTTTGGCTATTTGGGGTCCCTTGAGGTTTCATATGAATTTTAGGATAGTTTTTTTTTCTATTTCAACAAAACCTTATTGGGATTTTGATAGGGATTACATTGAATCTGTGGCTTGCTTTGCATAGCATTGACATTTTAAAAGTATTACGTTTTCAATTCATGAACCTGGATGCCTTGCATCTAATATTTTTTAATATATATTCCCTGTTGGCAAGAGTATACCTTTGGAGGTAGCCAGACAGACTTGCTACTGGATTCTTGCTCTGCTGCTTAACTCGTTGTTCAGCTTTAGATAAGTGTCTTTGGAGTCTCTGAGCAAAGTGTTCTTGTCTTTACATGGAAGTTGTGGAACACTCTAAGTTGTGTATCAAGGGTCTAGCAGAGGCTGTGTGACACCTTTTTCTTTATCCCCTTCTGCCTTCCTTGGACATCTGTATGTGCCTCAGCTTTGTCCTCTGTGATTTAACCAACACTTTGCCTGTTATCTCTCCTATTTTTAGATTGAACACTGGCCCAGAACACCTGCTCCAACTGAAACCTTATATCCACCATCTCATACAGTATATTCAACTCAGGTGCTGACTCCAGTTTCAGGTCAGTGATAGCTGCAGTCCACCTTTCTGTAGAGATCATTGCCCCGCCCAGTGGTGGGCCACCTGGGATCCAGCACTTGGAGGAGAACTGTGGTCTTAAACATCATCACTGGGTGATAGGGAAGGAAGTATAGGGTGACTTTAAAAGGTAACTCAATCATTAATGCTACTTCTGAATTAATGGTTTAATCATACCATATGCTTGTGTAATGTTTTATATTTTCCAAATTATTTTTTTACCCTGTGGATCTCAAAGATGAATCAACACTAGAAACACCTGAGGAACTTGTTAAAAACTGTCTGGGGGCCCCACACCCAATCTCATGGGTCAGGATTCCTAGGACAGTGGCTAAGGAATTTGTGTTTTTAACAAATTCCTCAGCTAATTCTCCAGCAACTGACCTGGCACTGGTCCACAGACGGGCCTTTGGGAACCTCTGACCCATGCCCTCTGTCAGTTCTAGAATCTCATTTTCAAAATCTGACGGGATTTAAAGATCTGTACAGCTAATGTCATTATGGAGCATTGTACCACAGAAGGCAGGTTTTGTCTTGACCCCAGCCTCATCTTGTTCTGTATTTCAGGGACCTTAGTTCCACAGTTCTCTTTAGCGTTTCTCCTGCAGTAGAGGTAGGCATCTCATTGCTCTGCTGTACCTCAGTGTTTTTAACAAGGACATGAAATCTGGGTTTTGTTTTGCTTTTGCTTATATTACTCTGGGCATTTGCCGTGATTGGGTCATATAGCAGCTAAGCCTCAGGATCTTTGTTTTTTAAAATACAAATTCTGACTCTCTAGACATTTCAGTTTGTTTTAAGAAGTGTTATGGGATGTGCTTTACTGCCTTCAGGAAACACAAACAATTCTGGAAGCTAAATTTATTTTTTTATCCCCATTGAAAAACTGCACAAAAATGCAAGGTAAGTCAGCATTTATTATGTGCCCAAATGATTTGAACATATAGCTGAGTTTACAGTAAGAAGTGATCAGTGTGAGCTGGAAGATTTCAAGGTTTCATGTGGACTGATGATGACAACAGCAAAAATACTGTTAGTATTTATCAAGTTCTTGCTGTGTCTCAGGCCTTGTGCTCATAAGCATTTTGCACATGTGATCTATTTAACCGTAACTGCTACTCCCTTCTACAATCTTCTCTATCTTAATAAAGGTCAACTTCATCCTCTCAGTTACTTACGCCAAAAATCCTGGAGTCATTCTTGACTTTTCTTGTTCTCCTGCTCAGCCCATTCATTAGCCAGAGCTGCCAGTTCAATCCTCCCACCAGGAAGCAGTCTGCTTCTCACCATCTGTACTGCTGCCACTTGGTTCAAGACCCCATCACCCTCTCTTGCCTGGATTATTGCAGTGGCCTTACCTCCATCCTTCCCATCTTAGTTCCCTGGAGCCTTTCCTCATCACCGCAAACAGAATGGCTAAGTCAGATCTCACTCCTCTGCTTAGAACTGTCCAGAATGAAAGTCAAATCCTTCCTGTGGCCCATCAGTCCCTCCCGGATCTGAGCCCGCTACCTTTCTAACCTGTGTGCTTGCTGTCTTTGCATGTGCCAGGCTTGCTTTCAATTCCAGTCCCTGATTGGAGCTCCTTCCCCTCCTCCCTCTCCCTTCCTTTCTATCTGTGTGGCTGATTTCCTCATCCTTTTCTTCAGGTATTTCCTTAGCCACCGTACCCTTCCGTTAACGCCCATACCGGCACCTACATGTCCCCAACCTTTCTGATCCTGTCCCATGATAGCAGTCGCTTTGAACAAGTTATGTAGACCCTACCCAAATTCAGTTGCATTCTACCTATCCACATTACCAACCACAACTACTAAGAAGAACCAAAAGATGTTCCTCTGTATTACATGACTTCTTCTGCCAGAATACTTGTCCTGTGAGAGCAGGACCTTTTCCAGGGCCTTTCATTACTGCATCTTTGATCCTAGACTAGTACCTGGAAGGTAGTAGTCACGTATACGTATTTGTTGAAAAAATAAAACCTCCTTTACATATGATGAAACAGATTCTGAGGGTTTAAGAAATGTGCCTAGAGGAGCAGAGTGAGTACATGGCTAAGCCAGCATTTGAACTTAGGTCTTGCGTCAATGTCTGCATATTTAATATCACAAGAAAGGGGATGGAAAAGACATTGCAGGGAGGGAACTCCAATAAGGAAGCTAGGGAGGTTGGGGTGGCTCAGGTGTATTTGAGAAGATTTTAAGGTGGTCTTAAGTGGTTTTGGTTGGTAAGGCGGATAGGTAAAATGCAGCTAAATTTGGGTAGGGCCTTAAATGCTGCATTTAGAGGCTTGAGAAGTTTTACTCTAAATTGGGGATAATAATAATTCTTATCATATAAGTTTATCAAAATTCAAATACTTAAAAGGCATTTAGAAAGTGCTTGGCACCTACAGAATGCTCAGTAAATGTTGCAATTTAGAGTATATTTTGACAGCAGAGCAAACCCAGGCTACTGTTACCACAGTAGAAATTTATAGTGTTTTGGACTCATATAAATGATTTCTAGAGCGTTCCCAATTTCACATTTTCATTTCTTCAAAACTAAAGAACCTTGTGAGTAAATAAATTGTACTACATTCAGCTGCTTAAATGGAAGATGGTTCAGTACTTGTGAGAGGGGAAAACGGAGATTTTAGAGTCATGTATTTAACTTTTTAGTTTTCCTCTATTAGAATTATGTTGAAGCCAATAGCTTCCAATCCTATTTGTGCATGACAACTCCCTTCTAAAATTCTAGATTCCAGGGCTGCTCCAGGTCCTCTGAACCAGAATCTCTGGGGCTAGAGTCCAGGAAGCAGGGTATAAACATCTGTTAGGTAATTTTAAAAATGTGTAGTCAGATTTGGGAACCGCTGGGCAAAACAACCCCAAACTTGTTAACCTTTTTTTTTTAGCGAAAAGGAGTATTTACCTTTTTGCTCAGAAATCTGTTGTGAAGACTTAAGAACCCTTTCTAGTTGTACTACGCTTTTATGGAGGGCCTCAGGCATGTGCTTAAAGGAGAAACTCCATGGCTAAAATGTGACAGGGGTTGTAAATGCAAGTAGAATAAATGGTGGCCCAGCACGGTGGCTCACGCCTGTAATCCCAGCACTTTGGGAGGCCGAGGCGGGTGGATCACGAGGTCAGGAGATTGAGACCATCCTGGCCAATTTGGTGAAACCCTGTCTTTACTAAAAATACAAAAAAATTAGCCGGGCGTGGTGGTGTGCGCCTGTGGTCCCAGCTGCTTGGGAGGCTGGGCGGGGGAATCGCTTGAACCTGGGAGGTGGAGGTTGCAGTGAGCCAAGACCGTGCCACTGCATTCCAGCCTGGCGACAGAGCAAGACTCCATCTAAAAAAAAAAAAGAATAAATGGTGAGGCTTCCTGCCCCTAGAGATGATGAGGATTCTGGTTATACAAGAAAGACTGCAGGAGAAACAGGTTGGTTCACCTTCAATGACAAGGGTCAGAGAAGTTATGCTTTAATCACCAGTGACTGCTCATACTGAAGTCTGGGAACCAGCACTTCTCTCCCAAACTGTGGGGTTGATGGTGAAATGAGGCTTCAGGTTGCTGATGACACATCATTCTGCAATAGGTGGGGCCGTGCTCAAGAGCATAATACAGATCTCTTACGGCTTTCTCTTGCCTTCTGTTGGCCAAAGTTGGCAATACCTTTTTTTCCTCCATAAGAATAAAAGCAAAACTTAAAACTATTTACTCCTAGCTGAGGAAAGAGAGAAAGAAATTGTGATGTCTGATTTGCCACCCTATCGTGATATCCTTGCTGCTTTCCAGTTTTGCAAATGTATGGGCTTTTAATCTTAGCAGCTAGAATATGGATGAGAAGGTGCACAACTCTGGACATTATCTTAGCTAGCATGAGCCAAGAACAACAGCAGGAAATCTTAGCAGGGCATTCTTTTAGCCAAGCTGTATTCTGGCACCCTTGAGCCCATGCTCCTCAAGGGTGTTTTACCTGGAAGCTTTTACTGGCCTCCGCCAAGCCAGGAGCCATGTCACCCATTCTTCTGTGCCCAGCTTCATACTTAGTAGGTCGATAGGTACGTAAGTGGCATGTCATTGTCAATGGATGAATATAATGTATACCGTTACATAGTAAAGGAACACAACGTATTTTGAAGGTCAAGTTTTAGAGGAAAGTTAGAGGGGAAAAGAGTCATAGATTATGGCTTTGAGTGTGTTAGATTTGCCACTTCCAGTGGAAGAAGAAAAACATTCCAAGCAAGAGAACTGCATAAGCAAAAACATAGAGGTGGAGGGCATACAGGGTGATCATGTAGATATTTTCAGCCCAACTGAGACACCTGTGTATCATAACTGATCATTCTCATTAATACAACATTCAAATAAAAAGTATAAAGAACAATGACCTAACTGTTAGCATTTTGGGACCCCAGTGGGACATCCATTTTGCTCTTGACTAGTGTTGTAACCTTAGGCAAATCACTTAACTTCTGGGTTTATAAAGTGGGGGTGTGAGAACAGATTATCTCCCTTAAGATCTCATGTTCTGATTGTGAGTCTAAGTGGGTGGTTAACACCCAAAACACCACACAGTGCTCTCTGTACAAGGGAAGAAAAAATGTTTCTTTGAGGCAGAAACCAAAAGTGTCAGTAAAATGCGATTGGGAGTGGTGTTGTGAAGTTTTGATGTTATTTGAGGGTGGTATGCCTGGGATCATGTCCAGTCTGCTCTGCCAGTCAAACATTTGAGGTTTCCTTGGGTTATATGGGTAACTAGCAGGAGCCAAATGGGAAGAAAGTGCCACACTTGATTGTAAGCCAGGTCTGTGCATGGGTCTCACCAGTGATGTGAGGCTGGAGGAGCTGCTGCCTTTTCCTAGGCCTGTCCAATTCTACTCTTAGTCTGGCTCTAAGAAGGATGAAGAGGAGAGTTGCCCGTTACAGGAAGGAGGAGCAGGAGAGATGCTTGAAGTTAATGAATTTGTCTATAAGTTAATAAATTTGGGTTAGGTTGGGTTCTTTTGAACAGATGAAGCCAGTAATGTTTGTGTTTTGTTTTTATTTCTAATTTTTAAAAAGCTGTGTGTAAATTTGAGAACCTGCGACAGTAGAAAAAAATGAAGCAACTTGGATTCTAGTTCTGATTCTCTGGAAACACAGTCATTTGACTGCAGGCAAATGCTTACTTTCCTGCCCTAAGACTTTTTCCTTGTCTGTTTAATGGAGAGAAGTGTCTCTTTCTTGTCTCTTCGGAGATTTTTTATGGATCGAATGAACCTACAAGGGTTTGGGGAATAGTAAATCCTTCAATAAATGTAATTATGTTAATACTAACATTTTATAATTAAATATTCAGACAAGTTCTTTGGGTCTACCTGTGGTTTTTAGAAAGTTGATTATATATATATATATATATATATAAAACTTGCTTACTTGCTAACAAGAGATCAGTTTTCACTGTTGGGTGTTCTGTTTGTCTCAGAGTTGTGATAACCACAGTTTCTGCATCCAACTCTTATTCATTAACTTGGAAATGCAAAGAAAGCAGTAATTTCCCATGATCATATTTTTAATAAGAAAATGGGATTTTTAATTAAAAAATTATCTGGGCATGGTGGTACATACTTGTAATACCAGCTGCTTGGGAGAGTGAAGTGGGAGGATCGCTTGAGTCCAGGAGTTTGAGCTGCAGTAAGCTATTGATTGCACCTCTGCACCCCCACCTGGGCAACAGAGTGAGACCCTGTCTCAAAAAAAAAAAAAAAAAAAAAAAAGAAGAAGAAGAAGAATTAAATGGGGTTTTTGGTGTTCTTGTTATTTTAGAAAATGCTGTATATCATATTAAGTGGTCATTCTTTTTTCCTTTTTTTCTTCAGGTAAAGATCTTTAGTGTTATGAACTTCTTAAAAATAATCAAGCCAAATTAATTAGTGGGCATCTGTAATTAAAAGTGGTTTAAGTTTCCTTTTCATATTTAGCACTCAGTTCATACTTGAAACATTCCAAATCCAGTATGTTTAAAGAAGAGTCTTCCCCTCAGTGCCCTGGAATTTGCTCCCTGTGCCTAGTGAATTAAAATGGTATCCCTCTGGAAGCAAAACCTAAAGAAGTACATTATGGGAAAACATTTCTTGAGGATTGATCCTAGCATTACTCCTGGATTTGAGTTTCCAGGAAACTTTGTTTTCTGAAGAATCCAATGAGCTGGCCAACAAAGCTGGGACAATTATGAGTCAAACCAGACAATTAAAAAGTATGGAGCCCTTTCTGCTCCTGTCCTCTTTTCTGCTTTTTAATTTAGTGACCTTGGAAGTTGTACCACAAAGTTTCTTGTTTTATTTTAGGACAAGTTTATTGCAGCAGAGGGACATAGAATTTAGACTTGACACAGTGGAGCCAGTATTTTTAATATTTTTCTTCACCCACCAGATCATTCTGCTGGTCTGTCCGTGTGGAATTGCTTTATTTTGGTGACAGTTCCTGAGTAGTTGGACTGACACTCTGGTACTTTGTCTTTATTCTGTCAGGCCCCCAAGAAGACGGCGGTATGGGAAGCTTTGGGGAGGCCCCCTCAGAAGAGGACTGTACTGACCCCTTAGCAGGACACTTCAGTCTGGGAGGGAAGAGTCCTTGGGCACAGTCTTGATGTGGGCAGGGACATCTGCAGTGAGAGGATGTAAAAATCCACAGCCCTGGCCTCCCTGTCTCAGATACCGGTCAGGGGGGCACAGTCTCAGATGAGTGACTTGCTGCCTAGGCCCACCTTGGAGAATAAGTCTAATTTTAGGGTTATCAACTCAGGGCAGGGCATGTGTCACAGGCCTACGGTATATAGATTCTGGAGTTGGAAGAACTCTCAAGCAGTGGGTTACGGCAGGGGCCCATGGCCTGTTAGGAACCGGGCTGCACAGAAGGAGGCGAGCAGCAGGCGAGCATTACTGCCTGAGCTCCGCCTCCTGCCAGATCAACTGCAGCATTAGATTCTCATAGGAGTGCAAACCCTACTGTGAGCTTCACATACATTTAGGTTGAGCACTCTAATGTCTCATGATCTGAAGTGGAACAGCTTCATCCCAAGCCACCCACCCTACCCACCCCACTCCAGTGTGTGAAAAAATTGTCTTCCACGAAAACGGTTCCTGGTGCCAAAAATGTTGGGGACCGCTGGGTTAGGGGATCCCATGAGAGGTGTACACACCATCTGGCCTGCTTTTTGAGGAGTTAGACTCAGATGCTGCCAAGCACCAGGGTCCCTGGTAGGATGACAGATACAGGCCTGGGGAGGCCGGGTCTGTGTTTTCCTGCAGCACAGTCCACTTTAACTGGCGTTCAGTATTGGCACTACAGGGACTAGGAGAGTCTTAGGCACTTCTCAGAGAGGTTAGGAAGTGGAATATTGGTCTAGAACCTAAGGGCAACCTTTTATGTAGATAATACTGATTTCCTCAGTTGCAGTTTTGCCAGCAGCTTGGTCTATCCCACTTCCTGATTTGCCTTCCTCTCTTGGCTCCTCAAAGCTGTTTTTAATTGGGCACAAGTTATTCCTCAGTGAGATGGAAAGAACACTAGCTAAGGACTGGACATATGCACGGGAGTAAATCGCTCCACCCTGCCTATCCAGGCGTCTGCTTGCTCAGGTGTCAGGTGGTGATTAGACTCATAGTTTGCATCTGTGGTGTTAAATCTTCTGGAGTACTTATGTGTGCTTCCTCACTGGTCCCACAACAGTTATCTAAGTGTGCTAAGCAGACATGATCCCCATTGTGCAGATGAAACTGAAGTAAGTGGCCTGCTGAGGGTCCCAGTCATGTCTCCAGAGATGTGATGCAAAGCTCTTAATTCTTAATCTTTTGTGCTGTCTACGACATGAGCAGCCTTGCAGTGCACCAAGCGTCTCGTGGGGTGTAAGGCCTGTGAAAATATATTTGAGTATAAAATATTATTGGCCGGGTGTGTTGACTCATGCCTGTAATCCCAGCACTTTGGGAGGCCAAGGCGGGCAGATTGCCTGAGGTCAGAAGTTCCAGACCAGTCTGAACAACATGGTGAAACCCCGTCTCTACTAGAAATACAAAAAAAAAAAAAAAAAAAAAAAAAATAGCCAGGCTTGGTGGCGGGTGCCTGTAATCCCAGCTACTCAGGAGGCTGAGGCAGAGGAATTGCTTGAACCAGGGAGGTGGAGGTTGCCATGAGCCAAGATTGCGCCACTGCACTCCAGCCTGGGCGACAGAGCAAGACTCCGTCTCCAAAAAAAAAAAAAAAAAAAGCTATTATTATTCTAACAAAAATTTCTGTTGCATAGGAATAAAGGGCAGTATTTTTGTAAATACCTGCCATAAAAAAAAAACGTTAAATTAATCAACAGTAGGTATTGTTCATTCAATGTTAATATCCATTTTCTTCTTTATCTTAGTGTGGGACTTTAAAAGGGAGAAGCAGCAGCTAACAGTCCTCTTTTTATACAAGGAAGAATATTATATGTTCTGTGTAATTTAAACATCCATTGGTTTTATGAAGGATCTTAAAAAAATGTTATATTTATTGAATTTAAAGTTTATTTGTATATATGTAAGTTAGCATACATATACAGTTACATAATTTGGACACATTAGAAAAATACAAGGAAGAAAGCAGAAAGCATGCATAAGGCTACTTGTAAGAGCTAACCACTATCATAATATGGGGGTGTTTCTTTCCTGTATTTTTATGTATATAGATTTTTAACATACTTTGTTTCATGCCTTATATAAACCTTTCTGTATATGGCTGTTTACACATAATATTATATTATAAATCCTCAAGTTGATGCATATTCTTAAAAAATTGGGATTGTGTAGTTATTTATTTTATATATGTACTATGTTTATCCCTGATCACTGACTGTTAAGACTGTTTCTGATTTTTCATTCTTGTAGTTTTGGATGAATATTTTTCTATATAAGTTTTTAATTTTCTTATTATAAGTCTCTTATTTTCTTGGGTAGATTTTTCAGATGTAGAGTATTTGAACATTTTATAGGACTTAATATATATTACCTTATTGGTGTTCAAAGAGAGCTGCCAGTTTGCATCTGTCTGTAGCATGTGGGACATGCATCCCCCAGACCCTCACCGGCATGGGGAGTGTGTTTGTGTGTGTGACATGCATGTGTGACACACTCATGGACTTTTGTAACTTGCTTGGTCAGAAGTGGTATACTATTGTTTTAACTTCATTTCTTCTATGACTCATTATTCATGTGCATGTCTTACCCAGCTAAGCTTCCTGAAGATTAGGAAGCTCTTTCATTCATCTTTCATACTCTTCCCACCCACAGCATCCAGTACAGTGCCCTGGTAGAACTGAATACGTTGATTTACTGAAGTAACAAGAGGGTTTTTTTATATCAGACAATAAACCACATAAAACTGTTCAGCAAAACTCAGTATCTTATAACTCAAGTAAATATGGGAACAGTGCAAAGATGGCTTTCAGTGTGTGTGAGTAGTGAATGGAGTTTGTTGTGTATTTGCTGCTAAAATTACTGTTTTTAAAAAATCAAATACTGGACTGTTGTATGGATTGGCAGGATTTTCTTTTCATGTCCTTTATGCCAAGTTGAAAGGAAGCATCTTCAGATTTGAAGGCTTTGTGTTTATTTGTTGCATTTTAATAAAGAATACAGTGATGGGACACGCTTTGCACAGTTTAGTTCAATTTTTAACAATATTGATTGATGTTAGTTTTGTTGAACACCATAATACAGATACTTTGCAAGAGTTTTCACTGTGGATTCAATGGAAAATAATATTAGTGAGAACAGAATGTTTTCCGGAAGGATTGTATTTTTTTTAAAGCTCCAGCCTGCCAGTTTTCTTATAAAATGCTCATGTTCTCTTCTTTGCTACCCACTGTCACTAAACATTCATTTAAAGAATAGGACAGATTATTTTTTATGATTTCTAAATGAAATTAATAAGTACAGTCTATATTGGTTGACATTAAGTAGAAATTCTTTTCTCCTTTTGCTGTGTTTTCCTCAGACATAAATGCCTCTGCTTAAATTATTAATTGGAATGACTGATTTCCTGCTGTGCCATCTGTAATTCAGGGGTCACATTGCTGAAAAGATGTATTAACTAATAACCTCCTGAGAGAAGGAGGTGAGGGCTATCTCTTTTTATCTCTTTCTGATTTAAAAAGATTTAATGGGAAGCAGTCAATACTCACAGCTGTTCTTCTGTCTCCTTCAAAAAACTCCATGATCAAAATTATCTATTTAACAAAACAGCCCTTTGTTTATTCTATTTTTGACTTACAGAATGATGGGCAGGGTAGCAGTTTACTACCAGAAATTGGTTCTTGTTCCTTATTGACATACAGGAAGTTTAAAACTTTACAAAAGCCATATTCTAATACAGTATAAAGTCTCTCAAATAATTTCAAATGTAAGTTGTAGTTGGGAAGAGAATAGTGCTTCCCTGGAGATTGTTTTGGGCAACTCACTCAGCTTCTAAAAGCTTTTCTTTGCCTCTTGGAGAATCAGCTTAAACACTGCAGTCAGTTACTGGTTTGTGTTCTCTTATTCTTTGTGTGTAAATCAGTGAGCAGTCATCCTATACTTTGTAAACCTGACTATTTCCTTTACTGGGTTCCTTTGGAATAGTTATGGGTTTCATTCATTTGCTTAATTTCAAATCAGTATGTTTGTCAATAAATATACACTCATATATTACATTTTCAGCTATTTCACGGCTTTAGATCCCATTGAATCTTTAGAATAATCCTTTGAAATAGATAAAATTATTCCCACTTTACAGATAGGAAACTGAGGCTCAGAGATTACAGATGGCTTTACCATCATCTCAGCAGCATATAGTAGAGCTGGATATTTGCCGAGGGTCCATATGCCAGGACATGTCTATGTCTTCCCCATGCTTAGAGTTTAGAAGAGGATAGCAGCAAACAATAAACTGGTATAGAATAGTCTGGTGTAACTTAGAGTAAAAAAAAAAAAAAGGCACAATGCTATGGGGGCCACTTAGACCCAACCTTAAGGTTTGAGAAGGCTTTTTAAAAACATGATACGTGAACTGAGGTGTGATGGATAACACCTCTTAGTAAGGCAGGAAATAAATACATCTTGAAGAGATGTGGGCAGAGGTAGTGCATGTACAAAGGATAAGAACATGAAGGTCAACACATGGGAGCATGGAGGGTGGAAATCCAGCAGCTGCACAAGGGGCTGGAACTCATGGACCAAATCATGAGTGGCTTGTGCTGCCTTAAAGCAAGCAGCTTTATTCAGAGGGAAATAAGGAACTGTTGAAGGGTTTCATTATAATCTAGGAGAACTATGATAGTGGTTCTAACTCTGGTCGTGGCAGTCAAGATGAAGAAATTGACATGGATTTGAGGAGTATTTGGAAGGTAAAATGGGCAGGATTGAATGTGGGCTGTGAAGGGAAGGCAGGATGAGCACTGGGTGTTTGGGTTGGGCACCTGAGTGGTTGGTGGTGCCTTTCCCTGAGCTGGGCAGAGGAGGAACAGATTTGGGTGCAGGGAGGGGTAGGCAGGAGGACCTAGACTATCTTCCTGCAACTGTGAGACATCTTTGGACTTGTGGATAAGGATTTATGAGTCATCAGCATAGAGATGGCATATGAGACTATGAGGTTGGCACAAGGGAATGTATAAAATTAAAAGAGAAGGCAGGCTAGGGTAAACCCTGAAAAACATCAGCATTTAAAGACAACCTGAGGAGGAGGAGGAGCCAGCCAGCAGACCAAAAGAGACAAATGAGAATCAGTGTGCTCCAAGCATGTGTTATGATACTGTGTCGACTCAGGACTTTGGGATACTTTGGTCTGCAGTCATTTCAATTTAAATGGATGGATATAGGTTAGTGATGATTGTCAACCGAGTGTCAGGCATGACTGGGAGTAGAAGCAGTGACTGTGACAGACCAGGACCCCACCCAGATGGAGTTTACCAAGCTGCTTTACTTACAGAGTCACCCAAGAGCTCCATTTAACAAACCTTTGATTGGGCCCTTTCCTTCACTATGAAGTACAAATCAGTATAAAGGAAACTCATAATATGGGTTTCTTGTGGAGACTAAATCCTTCAGGGTTTCTTTATTGAGGTCCTGCTTTACTCCAATGAAAAAATTCTTAACTACATCAAGGAGATCAGCTTTTCTGGGATGTCACTTGAGAAATTCCTCCAAATAGCACGTGGAGTACTTTAAAAATTAGTTGGCCTAACACCAGTGTGAACTTTCCAGCAAGAAAAGATTTTATTCCCCTTCGCAGATCATAGGTTACCCCTATGTTATAAAACCCCAAAGAGGAGAATTCTGCTGGTTTTTATGTTCTCATGTTCAAAAATATTTATCTCTGGTACCACCCCAGTGTTTAATTCAAGATAAATGTTTAAGAACTTATTTTCATGTTCAGATCTATCAAAAACTTACCAGGCAAAAATATTATTGAACTTGTATATCAATTTATTACCATTATTATTTAATAGTAGCTACTTATCAAATTGTCTTATAGCTTTGATTTTCGTATTCTACTGTAATAGGAATGTGAGTTAATGGGTTGTTTTATAGCCATTTGGTTATAATTTCACTTAATACCAGGCTTAGTTTTTGGTAAATGCATTTTAGGTGATCAGACCTCAAGTGCGAGCAGCACCTCAGCTCATTGATTGTCTTCTTGGCCACAGAGAGAGGGTAAAAGTGGGATCAGTTTGTTCTTCCTTTTATTCCCTGTCCTATTATCCATATTAGTATTAGAGCTGTTGGGATACTGGCATGAAAAATAAGCATTTTTTTTACTATAGTTATACTTGTATTATAAATCTGCTATATAATTTTAACCATTTTTTCCCTTGAATGGGGCTCGTAATTTGTGCATTTTGTGGTTTTCAATCCATTTGCTACAGCTGCATTCCTGATAAGTGGCTCAATTAGAACTCTAATATTGGTCTTAAAGACTCACTGATGTCTCATGGAAAACGTCGAAAAACATCTTATTTAAAGACAATTATGCTTAAATATCAAATGCTCTCCATTTCTTTTCTATCCCTTTAAAATTATTACCAAGACAGTTAGCATGAGAACAGCTCCTTCATGCTCTAAAATTCTTCAATTTTGGTCGGTGGCCTTCCCTAGCCCTTCCTCACTTGGGGGCACCCCACTACCTGTGGGGTTTCTGTCTGGGTTTTTAAAGTGCTTGCAGAATGTTGGTGATAATTATTTATTTTTACTGGGGAGCAAAGCCATAGAATTTTATGAAATGCAAGAATAATTGGAAACTATGGGGAGAAGACCAGTGCCCCTCACAGTAAAAATTAGCTTAAAGAACAGAAAGAAAACTGTATGTAGACAAAATCTAGAGATCTGTTTTAATTAGATCATTCGAAGGCAAACTCCGTCTTCTCACCACCCTCCAGATGGTCAGAATCTAGGTTTAGGAAATTACCTGGAAGAAAAGATATTCATGTTGCTGACAAGGTCACAGGCCTCATATAGAAGATTAGTCTGTCATCTTTATAAAGTTCTAGGGAAGGTATTAAATGAGTCTCAGATTTTCCTTGATGTTTGTTTTTCCTCAAGCTGTACCAGCTTAGAAGTATGAGTCCATTTAACTATTCACTTAGGAAAGCAGTTAGTATCCTTGTGCCTTTAATTAGAATAAGGCAGGAGGGAGCAGGTGGTACCAGTGGCACTCACCATATACATGTACAATGAGGATCCAGTTTATTCTACATCTTTTTAATATTTCGTTTCATAGCACGTTTGCTTTCTAAGGAAAAATACCATGGCCTTTTTGTTTGAGGACTCTGCATTTGCCAGTCTGAAACTCTCATAACTGGTTTTTTACAATCTGTTAGAATGACAAAATGATGTAAAATCACAGAGGGGGAAGGACAGGTGTGATTCACAGCTGCTCACGAAGAAGAAGGCATGTGTGGGCCCTCGCTTCATATGGCTTCTTCTCTAACTCGGACACGAAGCTGAGGTGGCCTTTTGACCAGGTCTTTAGATTGCACGGTTTCCATGTGCCATCCAGTTTTGGAGTGGTACCATTCACGGGCAGGCATCCAGAGCCCCAGGAAGCTGGCTGCATGCCACCTACAGAAAATGGAGCTCTGCACACAGCCGCGTAGCCACGCTCACAAGAGGACAGAGACTGGTGGCAGGATTGGCCGTTTTATTAACTACCATGTTTGGGAATGGGCCTTGGGTCTACTAGAGGAAGCTGCCGAGATGCTTAGAAGATGAAGTATGACATTCTTTTCTTTGTATACAATTAGAAGACATGTCTGTAATCACCTCATTTGGCTGGTATGGAAGTGGGGGTGGGAAGCTGTCTTTTCAGAGTGGAGTAGTTGCTGAATTTTGTGTTTACCTGTTGTAAGGATTTGGGAAAATGGCATGGAGCAAACAGTGTCCTGCAAAGTGTTAACAACCATTCATAGGTATTTGACTTTATAATGAGTGATTTTCTACAAAGTTATATCAAATGAAACTTTTGTGGTTACAATATATTGTAAAATATATTCCTATAACCACCAGAATTTTTCATTTAAATATTTTCTAATATAAGGACTTACTGCCTAATATATTTGTACAGTAATTTGTTAATTTAATAATATTTATTAAACATCTGCCACATACTAGAAACAGCTCCAGGCACCGTAGATAAAATGGGGAAGAAAACAAATTCACAGAACTTTCTCCTGGGGAGAGACACACAGAGAGAAGCAGGAAGTCCTTAGAAGGCATGGAAATGGGTGTTTGGGAAGTAGAGGACACCATGGGAGTATGTTGTGGAGTCACCCAGTTGCGGGGAGAGAGATGATCATGAATGGTTGTCAGTTCAGCTCAAGCAGTGGATGCTCCATTTAGAGGGAACAGCTGGGACACAAGCCTGGAGAGTGGGCTGTTTGAAGACTTGAAAGACGCTTGGTATGTCTGGGGCAGGGCGTAGAAAACAAGGGAGGAGGGAGAGAGATTAAAGAACCACAGAGTTTCCACAAGCTACAGTAGAGCAAAATCTCAGGGGAGGAGTTACAAGGAGATGGGATCCGGGCTGCATCCCAGGACCAATAATTGTGGCCAGGGAAGGAGGTATTCTTAACTGGCCACGTGTTAGGTGTGGAGTTAGCCTCACACAAATTAAATGATTCTCCAAAGCAATTCAAGCCACCATTACCAGAAGAAAGGGGAGTGGATTTTAGATAGGAAAAATCAGTAGCTGTCCACTAAAGCTAATGTTCTTAGCACAAACAAGTTTTCAAAATTCACAACAGAAGGAATATTCTGAGATACCTTTAGGAAAGAATTTCACATGCTCTGAGTTTGCTATAGTTTTCATCCTTTGTAGTGAACCTAATGATAAGATTCAGCATAAATTCATCTATTTTTAATTTCGTATATTATTTATATTGTAAAATCTTTATTTGAGATGGGATCTCACTTTGTTGCCCATGCTGGGGTGCAGTGGTGCGATCATAGCTCACCGCTACCTCTAATTCCTGGGCTCAAGGGATCCTCCTGCTTCAGCCTCCCAAGTAGCCGATACTACAGGTGTGTACCGCCACGCCGGGCTAATTAAAAAAAAACAGGTTTTTGTAGAGACGGGCTCTTGCTGTGTTGCCTGTGCTCATCTCAAATTCCTGGGCTCAAGCGATCCTCCTGCCTCAGCTTCTCAAAGTGCTGGCGTTATAGGTGTGAGCCATCACACCCAGCT
Source organism: Homo sapiens (assembly GCF_000001405.40). Taxonomy (NCBI): domain Eukaryota; kingdom Metazoa; phylum Chordata; class Mammalia; order Primates; family Hominidae; genus Homo; species Homo sapiens. The sequence continues at coordinate 232,517,758 of NC_000001.11, read as the reverse complement.
AATCTTTATTTTTTGACTATATATTGGTGTCTTCCATTTTTTCACAAGATATGTGTAATAAATATTTTGTAACTTTAATTTCATCTGTTAAACATTGAGAAAGCTACAAATGTTAGAGGAATGTGAAAGCTCAGAAGATAGATTTTCAAGTAAGAATCTGAGCCCAGTAAATTATAATAGCTAGTCAGGTTTTCCAGGACTAATTATTATCTTATTCTCGCTAATCCTAGTTTTAATATTTAATAGTTTCTCTGGTTTATTTTGCACATCTATTAGTTGGTGGCTTAAACTCAGAGCTTCCCTGTGGAGCGTGGTGAATAGGTTACAAGTGTGAGGAGATGCCGGTTTGCTCTTCCCTCTGGGTGGTGGGTTGAGCCCAAGGTGGTCAGTCTGTTAACTGTGCCTCTAGTCTGAGCATGTTCCTTTTTGACTCCCTTGTGCTGTACAGATACTGGTATTTCAATATATGCCATGACACGGAAAAGAAAGGAAGGTAGGGTTTGTCCTCATTATTTGGATGGCATTTATTTTATAAATAAAAGGATAAAGGAGTTTCAAAGCAACAATTAAAGTGGTTCTTTGCATTTCGTGGATGCATTTGTTAATGTCATTTCTAGTTGGGGACTGGTTATGTACAAGAATACAACTTTCTAGTGCATTATGCCACAAGTGACCTGTAAAATAAAGACCCCTGGAAATAGAAAACACTGCAATTTACCCGTATGTTTGTAGACACTTGATCTAATTACTCTTCTCTTTAATTACAAATATTTTTCTTTGAATTTATTCTTTCTTTATTTAGACACAGACATTTTCAGGTGTTACATATTTTCCAAACTCATGACAGGCTATATTACTCATTGGCAGAAGAATGAAAGAATCACTTTACCTCTTCTGAACAAAAGCTATAATATAGCTAGTTTTCTTCATCCTTCACCAAAGCATAAGGAATATTAATAACTGTAATTCGGTTTGAAAATGTTAAAATCCCAACTAGCTAAACAGCATAAAAACTCTTTCCAGTGGACTCCTAATGGCTTTGAGATGAGCATGTGGGAATGTCTTAGAATAGCAGATATTTTTCTTATGGTGGCAGTTGCTTTCTCCCTACCATAAAAAAAAAAAAAATTTAGGGATGACAACGTATCGTCTACTCTCAGAGCTGTTCCATAATGGAGGAAATAAAATGATATTTTAGGATATGGCAAACAGGGAAAATGAGTAGTCAGATACTGACATGCACAGGACAGAACAGACACACTATCCCATGGTTTTCAGAAAGATAAGATAAATGACTGCATCTTACCTAATTCTCTTAGAATTATTGTGTTTAAAAGGATCAAGGATGACTGGATTATAGTTATTTCCTACACAGTTTAGGCTATTATCAAATCCATTCCTGGAGACTGAAAAACTGACAACTGAGGTACAAGAAAACAGCTTCTTACCCAGTATCTCACTACTGCAATGTATTTGATGTATCAGATACCAGATCCTTGAAGATCTCTTCCCACTTAAAGGAGGATCTGTGTGAGTTCTAATTTGACTACAAGTGATCACTATGAAAACTCTCTTGTTAATGTCTTGTATTGACCATTTTGCTGTGGGACATTTTGAGTTTAACTGTTTTGAAAGAAACTAAACTAATAATACTGAAACCCATTATATACATGACTTGTGCTGCTCTTGTAGCCAATTCATGCATTGAAATACTTCATGAATCCCTAGTTTAAGCCAGGCTACCTTAATAGTTAATGCTGGTACACAGCTGAAAGGCATGGTTCTTGGCTTAGAGGAACTTGAAGTCAGTGAGTTGGTAAACAGCAATTAGAGATAAGGAAAATTACTCTGTTGGATATAGATGGAGTGCTGTGGGATCACAACATTCTTTGCTTAGATGCAATTAGGGTGGGAGACATCCTAGGAAAGTTTCTTAGATGAGTTAATACCTGATTGTATGGTGTGAATTTTATCTAGCTATGTAGAGAAGGAAGATGGTGTTCCAGGGAGGAGTGTTACGAACAGTGCTGTGGATCATGAAACTTTGTGGGCAGAAGCAGAGGGGAAAGACAGATACGAAATTTATCATAGAATGTGTTCAACTTGAAGCATATTAATTGCTAATGGCTACTTCCTATCTCTTAATTCAGGTGAAGGAAATACTCATGACCAGCCAGATGTCTTAAGGAATGCTTTTGAAAAGAACAGAGGCGTACAACATTATTACGACAACAGAGAAGCAAGTTGGCTTTGAAGAAACTGTATTCTGAGGATGTTGTTTGCTTTGGGCTAAGAAAAGAAAAAATACAACTACAGACAAAGCCTTTATATCTGCAAGTATTATGGCGTGGTCGGTAGCAATGTAATTAGATTTACATCAGTCTTCCTGGTGAGACTTGGAGGCTCTTCCTCGGTAGACATGAGTGACCCAAGGCAGTCACAAGAAGAGAAGCACAAGCTAGGCAGAGCCTCTTCAAAGTTCAAGGATCCCCCTAGAATCATGCAGTCAGATGATTATTTTGCTCGGAAATTTAAAGCCATTAATGGCAACATGGGACCCACTACTTCTTTAAATGCCTCGAATTCCAATGAGACTGGCGGTGGTGGTCCGGCTAATGGTACCCCAGCTGTGCCCAAGATGGGTGTGAGAGCAAGGGTGTCTGAATGGCCTCCTAAAAAGGACTGTTCCAAGGAGCTAACATGCAAGGCACTGTGGGAAAGCCGGTCTCAGACCAGTTATGAAAGCATCACTTCTGTCCTGCAGAATGGGCAGAGTGACCAGAGTGAAGGTCAGCAAGATGAACAGCTCGATCTGGACTTCGTGGAGGCCAAGTACACAATCGGAGACATCTTTGTCCATTCCCCCCAAAGAGGACTTCACCCCATAAGACAGAGGAGCAATAGTGATGTCACTATCAGTGACATTGATGCCGAAGATGTCTTAGACCAAAATGCAGTCAACCCCAACACCGGGGCTGCCCTGCACAGGGAGTATGGAAGTACTTCATCCATCGACAGGCAAGGCTTATCTGGTGAAAACTTTTTTGCTATGCTCAGAGGGTACCGAGTAGAAAATTATGACCACAAAGCAATGGTCCCTTTTGGGTTCCCTGAATTTTTCCGCTGTGACCCTGCAATCTCTCCGAGCCTTCATGCAGCAGCACAGATTTCTAGGGGAGAATTTGTCCGCATCTCAGGATTAGATTATGTGGACAGTGCCCTCCTGATGGGGAGAGACAGGGACAAGCCTTTCAAACGGAGGTTGAAATCAGAGTCGGTGGAAACATCTCTCTTCCGAAAGCTTCGAACTGTTAAAAGTGAGCACGAAACTTTCAAGTTCACGTCTGAGCTGGAGGAGAGCCGACTGGAGAGGGGCATTCGCCCTTGGAATTGTCAGCGATGTTTTGCACATTATGATGTCCAGAGCATTTTGTTTAATATCAACGAAGCCATGGCTACGAGGGCTAATGTGGGGAAAAGGAAAAACATAACCACTGGGGCATCTGCAGCATCCCAGACTCAGATGCCTACGGGCCAGACAGGCAACTGTGAGTCCCCTTTAGGGAGCAAGGAGGACCTCAACTCCAAAGAGAACCTGGATGCCGATGAGGGTGATGGGAAAAGTAACGACCTCGTCCTTAGTTGTCCTTACTTTAGAAATGAGACTGGAGGGGAAGGCGACAGGCGGATTGCGCTCTCTCGAGCCAACTCATCCTCTTTCAGTTCTGGGGAAAGCTGCTCTTTCGAATCGTCACTCAGCTCTCACTGCACAAATGCAGGTGTCTCCGTCTTGGAAGTGCCCAGAGAAAACCAGCCTATTCACAGGGAGAAAGTGAAGCGCTACATCATAGAACACATTGACCTTGGGGCCTATTATTACCGCAAATTCTTCTATGGGAAAGGTAAGGAAGAGCCATGGGCGTTTGCATGTGTCTCGGGAGTAGTTTTTTAAGAACCAGTCACAATGTTTTGCTTTGTGTTGGAGCACCTTCCTCAGAGTGTCCAAGGCCATAGTCCACTGGGCCTGACCTTGTTCTCCATCATGGTCCCTCCATAGCTTCCAGGCTAATTTTTTCTTTAGAAAACTGCAATTCCATGCCTTTGTTTATGGGTAGTCCTTAATGTGTAAATGCCCTTTTGGTTTCTCTTTCTGTCATTCTTTGTCTGCCAATTTGTGATCATCACAAATTCAGACTTGATTTAGATTTCATCCCTTGTAAGAAGTCTTCCCTGATTAATTCTGTCCTCCTCCTATTCCTCTGAATAATCTCTTATGCTGCTTACAGTGGAAAATTCTGTGTTTCCCTCACCTCTCTAATCTTTCTGTACTTTGCTTCTCCAGCATTGCTGTATGTGTTGGACATGTTAAATCTTTGTTGAAAGAATGCCTGAATTACCACAACAGACAAATTTTGTTTTCATGTAGTTCTATAGATGGGCTTAAATGTTAAGACACAAGTGATAAATTATTTAATTCTATGTCAAATAAATGGTTTTTGCTTTACGTATATCTTCAGGCTTGAAGGATGCATTCTTCAGAGGTCATGTAGTTGAATCCTCAACCTTTAAATAAGTGTCCCTAATTATCCCAGGGCTAGGAGAATCTTCTCTGATTTAAAGACCTACAGAGAAACAGGTTCCACATGTGTCAGTAACACATGCCGAGGAAAACACTCCGGCACCTCTCACCACCTTCTTATTGGGTGCAGCTGGTGTCCTTCACGCCTTCATTATAGTGCAGCTTACTTTTCAGAGCTATATTTTTCTGTCTTCAGTTTCACCCGTCAGCCCTCTTCCTGCTCCCAGGGATCCAGGGATAACCTCACAGAGTGCCTGAGGAGGCAGAGGGTGGGCCCCGCTACTCTCCTCCTCCTTTTTCTCAGTGCATAAACTATTCTGCTTCTAGCACAGATAGCTGGGAGCTCACTGTACTTTTATTTATTTATTTTTTTTTTTACTTTAAGTTCTGGGATACATGTTCTGAACATGCAGGTTTTTTACATAGTTATACTTGTGCTATGGTGGTTTGCTGCACCTGTCAACCCATCATCTGGGTTTTAAGCCCTGAATGCATTAGGTGTTTGTCCTAAAGCTCTCCCTCCTGCTTATGAGTGAGAACATGCAGCGTTTGGTTTTCTGTTCCTGTGTTAGTTTGCTGAGAATGATGGTTTCCAGCTTCATCCATGTCCCTGCAAAGGACATGAGCTCATTCTTTTTTATGGCTACATAGTATCCATGGTGTATATGTATGGTAGTTTCTTTATCTAGTCTATCATTGATGGGCATTGGGGTTGGTTCCAAGTCTTTGGTATTGTAAATAGTGCTGCAATAAACATATGTGTGCATGTGCCTTTATAGTAGAATGATTTATAATCCTTTGGGTATATACCCAGTAATGACATTGCTGGGTCAAATGGTATTTCTGGTTCTAGATCCTTGAGGAATCGCCACACTGTCTTCCACAATAGCTGAACTAATTTACACTCCCACCAACAGTGTAAAAATGTTCCTATTTGTCCACATCCTCTCCAGCATCTGTTGTTTCCTGACTTTAATGATCGCCATTCTAATTGGCGTGAGATGGTATCTCATTGAGGTTTTGATTTGCATTTCTTTAATGACCAGTGATGATGAGCTTTTTTCATATGTTTGTTGGCCGCATAAATGTCTTCTTTTGAGAAGTGTCTGTTCATATCCTTTGCCCACTTTTTGATGGGGTTGTTTTGTTCTTGTAAATTTGTTTCAGTTCCTTGTAGATTCTGGATATTAGCCCTTTGTCAGATGGACAGATTGCAAAAATTTTCTCCCATTCTGTAGGTTGCCTGTTGCCTCTGATGATAGTTTCTTTTGCTGTGTAGAAGCTCTTTAGTTTAATTAGATCCCATTTGTCATTTTTGGCTTCTGTTGTCATTGCTTTTGCTGTTTTAGTCATGAAGTCTTTGCCCATGCCTATGTCCTGAATGGTATTGCCCAGGTTTTCTTCTAGGGTTTTTATGGTTTTAGATTTTAATTTCATCAGTATTGGTTTCTGTCTTGAGAATATTTGTGTAATTTTTGACTGTAGTTTGTTTTATTGGAGTGGGTTGGGGAGGGTGGGTAACACAGACCTTAGGAGGTCACTCTGTCCACTTCAGTCCCTTATAACGTTAAACCACTGTGAAGCCTGTTTATTACTTTTTCTCATGGAGTATAGACTTAAAAGAATTTGTCTGCCAGATAAATTGTGATTATTAATAATTCCCCCTCCTGTTTTTGCATCAATCCAGACTTAGCATGTCTTTTGTAATCACATTATGACAACATGAATCAGAGAAATGATCTGATGCAATAAAGCTAAATAAACAGATATTTACACTGCATCTGGTCACTTAGTGTGAATTGTCTCTCTGTCCTCATACTGATGACATAATAGGACTGAAATAGTTTTGTCAACAGATCTTGGTCCCCTGTTGTGTCTCCTTTCCTCTCCTCCACCCTGAATTTCGGTCTTGGCTTCAGGTGTGCCTCAGTGTTAACACCATAGTTACTTCCTTCCAGCCAGTGGAATCAAAGAATCCTGGACCTGCTTTTTTGTCTCTGCTGTGAAAATAACTCATAACCCTCATGCCCGTGTTCATGCAGAGGTATCACATTATATCACACTGCTCAAGGATGCTCTCTAGGTGGAAGTTAGTTATTTTTGGAAAGGGAGATGGAGAGATAGGCTTCCTAATTAAGGTTATTTTTATTGATGAAGCCATGGCTGCCAATTCTTAATAAAATAAAGTCTGTTGGATTTATTATGCCCTGAAATCCCCAGGTAATTAGTCATTCTGGCTAGCTGAGTTTTGTAAATAGTTTGTGATTCAGACTTTGAAATACTAGAACATAAAATTATATATATGTTCATATTTATGCCAAAACTTAGTGCCAGCGTCTCATTCATATGCTGTTGCACATGTCTGAGTGTAAGTGGAATGAAAAACTGTTGTTTTGTGCACCCCGGTCACCACCATTTGATTCATTAATGTCCCCAGGGTCTGTTCCCCGAGATGATTTTAGGTTGCTAGATTCTGTTAGTTTTCTTGACTGCTACTTGTAGTTTTTCTCTTGAATTCTCAACTGTCACTTCTTGGTAGTTTTAAAGACTCCTCTGCAAGTGATTTATTTCCTCCACCTTTTCTGATGAGCTACTTAGTTTTTCAAGAGCATTGCAAATGACATCATCAAACTGCTTAGGTTTGAATGTGAAATAAATAAGCTCCAAAGAAGAATCTGAGTGTAGACACCCTGTCAGTGAATTGTGGGTGGATGTACGCTTATCGTTTGGCATTTTGGTGCTGTTGGGCACACTCTCTGGTTCTGAGCTTTGCAGTGGATTTATAAACGAGTCAGAAAGCAGAATTCTAGACTATAGTCACGCATCAGTTAACAACAGGGATATGGTCTGAGAAATGTGTTATTAGGCAATTTCGTCATTGCGTGAACATCATAGAGTATACTTACACAATCCTAGATATATATCTTTATTCATATATATATATATATTTTCATATTGAAAACCAAATGTCCCAGCACCATTACTGAATATCAGACATTTCCCCTTATTCATCTGCACTGCCAATATCAAGTGCCATGCATCAGATTTCTGTATATGCTCCATCATGATTTTATGGGACCACCGTCATGTATGTGGTCCATTGTTGACCGAAATATCCCTATGCGGTACATGACTGTGCTTTGCAAAGCCCACAAAATGAGGGAGTGGGGAGGCAATCCGTGAGGTCACTTTGTCTTCAGTGTTCTGTGATTCTGTGCTGTGGAAGGTGCTGTTGTGCCTGCAGATGGGCTCGGGCTGGGGAAGGAGCGGCCACCAGGAGCGAGAAGAAGGCCGAGCCCCGGCTGCTCTGTTCTCTCTCCAGCGCAGCTGTGAACTGTGTCCTGCCTCCTCCTATATTTAGCTCTTCCCCTGTGGTCCAGTGTGACTTCAAAGTGAAATTGGTTACAATGGCATCTGCTCCTGCTCTTGCTGGTCTCTTGTTGAGCCATTAAGGACTCCAGGCAGAGGCAGCAGCCCAGATTCTTAAGTGAAAAGTACAGTGAGGTGGAGGCCTCCTATGGTGTGGGAGTAGATTCCCATTCCCGCTTCAGCCACTGGACACAGTTGTGCAAGACCCTTCTGTCTGCAAACATCATGAGTTGGGTGAGCTTCATTGTATTTAAAAACAGAGGGCCTGGGCAGACTGGCACAGATAACGATGTTTTTGAGATAGCTTTTTTCTTTCCCTTTTTTGCTTTTCCCTTCTCTCAAGGATTTTCTCTTTGGAAACTGACTTTCAGGGATCTATCTTTCAATACTTTCCAGAGTGCTTTTATTTTGTTCTGTGCTTCAGGGTTCTGTGTAAAACTTCATTTTCAAGAGAATTAACTGGCTCCCAATCATGGCAAATGTTTAAAGTGCGATACTTTAATAATGTGATTTCTTCTTTATTGGGTAGTTAATGTGAAATGTCTGCTTTTGATGCTGAGGTGTATTTCTGTGACACATCATCACTGAAAGGCTGTTGAATAACTTTGTGAAAGGATTTCTGCAGGGGAGTGGCAGGACACAGGAAACTGTGTGACAACATCGCTTGCCCAGGCAAATCCATCTGTAGCTTTCAGTGAAATAGCTTTTCTTTTTTCTTGAAGACAGAGTCTCGCTCTGTTGCCCAGGCTGGCGTGCAGTGGCGCAATCTTGGCTCACTGCAACCTCTGCCTCCCGGGTTCAAGCAATTCTCCTGCCTCAGCCTCCCAAGTAGCTGGGATTACAGACATGTGCCACCACGCCCGGCTAATTTTTGTATTTTTAGTAGAGATGGGGTTTCGCCGTGTTGGCCAGGCTGGTCTCGAACGCCTGTCTTCAGGTGATCCACCCACCTCAGCCTCCCAGAGTGCTGGGATTACAGGCGTGAGCCACCGCACCCAGCCAAAACAGCTTTTTTAAAAGCAGTGAGGATAGTAGCAAGTAGAGTGAATGCCCAATAAGTCCCTTCCTTTCACGGGCGATAACCATGAAGACACATTGGTGCCGTTTGTCACATTACTGTTTCTCTGATGGGACTCATTGTGAATGTGCCATTTGCTGCTGCTTTGAGCTTTGCATTTGTGAAACAGGCTGTGACAAAGGGTCCCTTAGATAGGGATTCTAGTTGTGCTTGACCACGGTCAGTCATGTGAGCATCAGTGAGTCTGGTTTCCATTGTAGCAGAGCAGCAGGCTTTGCCTCCTTCTGGACCTGCTTGGCACTGCACACTGCCACCAACAGTGGGGCCAGTGCTGGAACTGTGTGGCAGAGCCCAGACACTGTGTGTTGACACGTGAGGTCTCCCCCGCTTGGTGACGAAATCCTTAACTTGTTAAGAAGTTGTGCACCTAGTGGGTTACTCAGGAGTTCTAAAACGGTTCTGTGCCCTACTTTATGCCACCCAGACCAGAATAGTTCTAGGAGGCAAAGTGAGTAATATTTGGGTAAAGAGAGGTTAAAACCAGATGGGAGGATGAAGCTGGGCCTCCGTGGTGACTCAGGAGTGAAGTGAAAAGTGGCTAAATCATTGTCTGAGCCTTCGGGAACGTTGTTTTGCTAGAGCCATTCTGCTGGCACAGGAGCGCGTGTTCCTCTGAATGTAGTGGGGGAAAATGCGGAATCAGATTGACGAATCTATATCTTTTTTTCATTTAGAATTTTTAAATGGTATATAAATGTCATATGATGGTTATGGGAAAATAAGAAAATGTAGAAAAGCAAGAAATAAAGTCTCCCCAAATTCATCAGCTATAATCACCATTAACATTTCGTCATTATCCTTGAAGGCTTTTCTGATGCAAATAAATTTATGTAAATGGAGCTTACTCCTGCTATTACTGTGGAACTTGCTTTTGATGATCACCCTTCCATGTCATTATGTATAGAACTGCATCTGCATTTTAAGAGCCATTATCAATTATCGTTATCTGCACTGAATGCATGAGGAGATGCCAGGTATTTACCAGCCATGATCTGGGCAGATAAGTTAATGACTGTGTTTGCTTTACTTGAGAGAGAAACTTACCAGCTTGATAGAAGCACAGTAATAGGGGAAGATGCATAATTTCCTGTCCCCTTGTAGATGCAATACCTCTACAAAACAACTTACCAAATACATTAGTGAATGTCCATTTTTGTAAAGAAATCTTTACTTGAAAAAGTAATTTATCTTTATAAGAGTTTAAGTCAGTGTCCCACCACCTTCCTACTTGGATGTGGGCTGCATTTAGTGACTCACTTGCAAAAGGTATCTTATGGAAAGACAGGGACAAATAATTTTACAATGGAGTAGCCTGGCAAACACTACCTCCCTAGGTCACCAAGGTCACCATCAACAGTGGTAAGTCCTGTGGGTAGCTTGTACCCCGGCTATGAATGACTCTTCTGCAGGCTTCCTCTCCAAATCTATAACCCCAGTACAATTAGGGGAAAACATTAGAAAAATTCCAAATGAAGGACATTCTGCAAAATCCCTGACTGGTACCCAAAGCTGTCCAGGTCATCAAAAGCAGGGAAAGTCGGAGAAAAAAAAAAAAATCACAGACCGTAAGAGCCTTAGGGGACATGACAACTAAATGGAATGTGGTACCCTGGGTGGAATCCTGTACAGAAAAAGGACATTCCATTAAAAACTAAGGAAATCTGAATAAAGTATGGACATTAGTTAATAACATAACAGTATTGATTCGTTCATCATAACAAATGTACCAAAATAATGTAAGATGTTAACAACTGGGAAACTGGGAGATGGGTATAAGGGAACTCTGCTATTTACAGCTTTTCTAGAAATCTAAAAGAATTCTGAAATAAAAAGTTAAAAATTTTACAAATGTAAGTCATAAGTGCTCATATATTTAAAATTATGATCTATTTCTTTAAGACAAGAAGAAAGAATTTGTAAGTAGTTCCTATAAATAACAAAGCTTTATGTTGCTTTATTGAACGACCATAGAATTCTTGTAAGCAGCCAACTTCACTGTTTCTGGTAACTGCTCTCTTACCTAGCTCTTTGTAAACCCACCCTTTCCTCCAGTGCTAATTTTTATCATTAGTATTTTAACTGAAGAATAATATGTTGTATGTAAATCCTGCTAAATGAACAAATTGATTCTTCTAGAATTTGTGTAATAACCCTCTTACCTCTCTTGATACCAATTTAACCGTTTTTTGGCTGGGGAATTATCTTTCTGCCATTAGGTAAAAGTGTCCATCCATTTTAATTATAGTTGGAGGTCAACTCTTGGTAAATAGAGGTCTGTGAATGGCGGGCAAATGACATCACTTAAGGCAGAGTGCACACTGAGGTTCACATCCCAACTCAATTTGGGGCAAATCCTTGAACTACTTTGTGCCCTAGTCAATCATCTGTAAAATGGGATGATAATAATACAAATCCCCCCTGTAAAGGGCTTAGAGCAGTGCTTGTCAATAGCATGCCCCCCTGCTTCCCAGGGTTACTTAAATAAATGTGTAAGACTTTTCCCTCTAAAAAGAAACTATTGTTCACACCACTGCTACAGGCTTTAGAGGGCAATACTTTCTTTTAGTGGTTCAAAGATGAAGAGAGAAACAAGTAGAACCATATGGCAGAGAGGGCTGGGGAAAGGTGTCTGGTGAAGTCCATCACCCCATTCCAAACACACTCACTTAAGTGTCACTAATGTGACAGTTGTAGGCGGGCCTACACCTTTACATATCAAATGAACTTCACTGCTGAGTGATGCATGGCTGCATTTGCTTTGAATTTCATGCCTGGTAGCTGTTTTTTCCTTCTGATTTTATACAGTCATTGACGAAAATTAATAGGGAGTTGGACACTATTAAATTCATACGGGTGAACAGAGTGCCATCTAACAATAGTACTATTCTAAGATACACATTCCTCCCTCTGAAGACATAATCGGCTGAGTTCTTCACCTCTCTCCCTGGCCAGTATTGCCTCCCCAAACGGAGGTCCCGTCAAGTCCCACAGGCGCCCTTAATGGGGAGGAATTGCCCAGATACACATGAGATTCAGCACCAAGGGCTGTGGTCGCACGGGCTCCATGTGGCCGTCGGTGGAAAACACCGGGGCTTTCTCTCTTGCAGAGGTGCCGTATCTGGACAGTCACAGTTCCCATACACCACAGTGTTGCAGGAACCCACAAAGGGCTGTCTGTATGCTATTTCAAAACCTACTGACTCTCTGGCCCCAAAAAGTCTTCAGTCAGTTACTGGGGAAGAAGAACGAATGCCCTATTATTTCCCTGGGAAAAGGAATAAGACTTAATATTTCTTTACAGTTTGACTCACATGGCGTTTAACTGACAACACTTGTTGGCATTTTGCTGCTGGTACAGTAAGTTGGAAGTAAAGGTCTTTGGAGCATTAGTTCTTAAAGAATGTAGAAACTTAGTTTAAACACTTTGTATTTGTTTAGACCCAAAATTTATTTCACTATTTGTCCCACTTAATTAAAATAAAAGCTGGACAGCCATCCCGTTATCAGTGGGCTCCACCTCTCTTCTTTGAAGTGGTGAGGCCTTTCATACTTTCCTAGTGTTTTCTTCTTCCTTTTGAGCAAATACTAACCATACAGGTTATGAAAAGAAGCCTTTAATAATCTGCCTTCCTTCCTTCTTCAGTCTTTTCATTTTTCACTCTAGCTTTCCTTGAAATCATGTTTTTCAAGATACCGTTTTTATGTCAAGGATACATTTGTTGTCTCATCTTTAAGTTGTGTTCACTTTCCTGTATTAATTAATTTTTGTAATTTAAACCTTTGCATGAATTTTTTTAGCCTCAAGCTGCTTTCCGTGAGAGAACACTAGAGCCGGACTGTCTGGGTTTGCATCCTCACTGTCCCACCAGATTGTGACTTTGAGCGAGTCACTTAACCTTTCTGCCTCAGTGTTGTTTGTAAGAATAGTTGTGCCTCCTCATAAGTAGACAGGATGAACTGAGTTTATTTTTGTGAAAGATACTTAATATTATTGTCTTCACTGTAATGCCTTGGATTTTTCAAGCTTAGCAAATACCTTGGTTAAATTTGGGTCAAAAGAGCAAAAATTTACATGACAAAAATCTATGTTTTTCAAAACTTCCTGGTAAATTCGGTAATTTAATCCAGGAAACACTAACAAAGGTGTTTGATACTTCTTGAGGTTGTTGAGTTACTTTTTTTTTTTTGTCTTTCTGAGATGGAGTCTCGCTCTGTTGCCCAGGCTGGAGTGCAGTGGCACGATCTCGGCTCACTGCAACCTCAACCTCCCAGGTTCATGCACTTCTCGTGCCTCAGCCTCCCGAGTAGCTGGAACTACAGGCATGCGCCACCATGCCTGGCTAGTTCGTTTATTTTTAGTAGAGATGGGGTTCGCCATGTTGGCCAGGCTGGTCTTGAGCTCCTAACCTCAAGTGATCCACCTGCCTCGGCCTTCCAAAGTGCTGGGATTGCAGGTGTGAGCCACTGCTCCCGGCCTGTTGAATTACTCTTGTGGTTTTTTGTTGTTGTTGTTGTTGTTATTTTTTGTTTTGAGATGGAGTCTCACTCCATCTCATAGGCTGGAGTGCAGTGGCACAATCTTGGCTCACTGCAACCTCTGCCTCCTGGGTTCAAGCGATTCTCCTGCCTCAGCCTCCTGAGTAGCTGGGATTACAGACATGCACCACCACACTCAGCTTATTTATTAGTATTTTTTAGGTTTATTGTAGAGACTGGGCCTTGCAGTGATGCCCAGACTGATCTCAAACTCCTGGCCTCAAGCAATCCTTCTCCTTCTGCCTCCCAAAGTGCTGGGATTATAGGCCGGAGCCACTATGCCCTGCCCTCATTTACTTACTTATTGTCCCCTTTTCACTTTTTAAAAAATAACTCTAGAGTGTTCGAAAAAAGGGAAGTGATTTAAAATACACATAATTGTTTGGAGAGAAAGGTGAAAGAAGATACATCATAGATAGGAATTGAAAGAGCATTTAACTGCCTATGTAACCCAGATCAGCAGAGAGTAGGCAATTAAATGATCAACTAGTGGTTGAGAGAACAAAGAACCTTTAAAATGCATTTTATGGCAAAATAGCAAGCTAGCTTCTGCTGTGCATATTAACAAAGTAAAGGACTGGAAGGTACAGGTGCACAGTTGTTTGTGGCCTTGGTGTACTTATAAATGGTGCTGTGGTCACTGGATGCTAACAGCTTTGATAAATCCTGTAAGGCAGAGCAGTGAGTGAATGTCTTTTACGTACCTGGCCTCAGGAGGCCCTGCAGAGTTGTGATCCTTAACTGGTCAATTCATTAGTGAGTTACCACTTAAACCTCTCTTCTAAGATATCACCGTATCTAGAAACAGCTTTTGGGCTAGGGTCCAATGTACCACCCCTGCCCCCATTTTTTTTCCCTGTGAGCTAAAATTATTATTTATTTCTTTACTGAACAGTTACAATGCACCACAGAAATGCACTAAATCTCATCTTCATTTCCTGCACTGCGATCTTGTTAGCTGATTTTTTTTATCTTGCCCTGTTGTATTTGCATGATAGGTGGATTTTCATTCAGCTTCTCAACAGTCTTTTCATACCTTCTGTTCTGCCAAGGAAGGATTTCATTTGATTCACCCTTGAAGCAATTTTATGGAAATCTTCTGCCCGGAATAAGAACAGACTCTGGGTGGGTGAGGGTCTGAATGCACACAACCCTGGGAAGCCTTGCTCGTTGTCCTCTGCCCAAGATGGGAAGGGCCTCTTGCCATGCAGATAAACAAGGAGGTCTTTCCTGAAAGGGGGATGCAGGATATCATTTGAAAAGGGCAACTATTTCCCTCCTGGTGGTTATGGGAGGGGGCACAGTCTCTGTATGTCCTAATGGTATGTGGAGATGCCCTTTATAAAAGCTAGGCAGCGTCTTACATTATTGAATAGAAGATTTTGATTTCTTTGGAAACACATCCAGGTAACCTACTGTATTCTTTGGTGAAACCAAAAGCATTGTGAGCCCTTAGAAGATGGTTAGGAGGCATAAAAGCTGTGAGTCTGCAGGTGTGATGCTTGTAAACAGCAGGAACTTCATCTCTGTGTTCGCAATAAGAAAGTGGATGTCTGTGTGAGACAGAAAGAGGAAAATGGGTCTGTGACATAGATTGGCAAGGTAGGCATGAAGGGAATTTTTTTTTTAATTCACCTGCCATCTTTGATAAAAAGGGGAATATACAAATTTTAGATTCCCAAACTTTTAAAAGTATAATTTATGATAGAAATTACTCAGTGAAGTATATACACCACTTCTTAAAAAAGACTTCTGTGAGTGCAGTGTAACCTCTCAGGTGATTCTGGGTCAGCATTTTGAGATTAAAAGTGGGAATCACCTTCAGGCTGACCCATGAACTGTGCCGGAGTTTTGGGCTCAAAATCAAAATACTCGATGATGCAGTTTATTTTATGTGCGCTCTTTTGTTTTGATTTCTTTTTTTTGCCAGTAACATGCCTGCTGTCAACTATAATACCCCTCCCAGGTCAATGATGGTGTTATATGGATTAGATACATTAGGAGCCGGGAGGATTCTGAGGTTAAGAAAGGGTCTGTAACTAACCCAAGGTTAAGCACGTGATAAGTATCAAAGCCCAGATTAGGCAACCAGTAAGTAAGCTTTTTATAATTATAACATTGCACAGTAAATGGGTTTGAGACTGCTGGTTAAATAAGGCAAATTGAAAACATGTTATCTCTTCCCCTTCCAGAATACCAATAAAAATGACAGTGAAGGAATTTAAAAAATGGGCATAATGCCACAAAGTAAAAAAGCTCCAGGGAGAAGCAGCCGAAGGAAGGCAGGGTATATGAAAGCAGGTAGAAGAGCAAGACCACTCCTAGTAGATTGAGAGAGCCGGCCTCCTGCGTCCCCCATCATGGGTGGTCACGGGAAGAGGGTAGAGGCCATCAAGAAGTGAGTCAGGCCATGCCACAGAGCCAGGCACCCTTGGATAAGGGCTTAGGGGAGTGAAAACAGGGCTGGTTACATGCTTTATAAAAGGCCAGATTCTCTCTCCTCCCCCTGTAGCCAGTTTACTATTTGCCCCTCTCTCAGGTGGGAAATAAGATTTATTCTGGAGAAATGGAACAACAGGCCCAGCAAAGGGCAGGACTAAGGCACTTAACTAAAGTGGGTACTTAGTGAAAGTCAACACAATGAGGTGCTCAGCCCCACCCCATTATTTGGGCTCAATATTTCTAGACAGGAGACTGGAGGTGCCTTCCCTGGGACACTCACTGGCCCAAGAAGAAGATGCACCTGTCTTATGGCTGGACCCTGCCTGACCAGCCTAACAAGGCACAGCTCAGAGATGCGGTAGGGTCAGTGTCAGACCACATCAATATGATGAATATTGTAATAAAGTGAGTCGCACAATGTTTTTGGTTTCACGGTGCATATAAAAGTTGTTTATACTGTAGTCTACTATGCAGATAGTGCTATATCTAAAAGAACAGTGTACATATCTTAATGTAAATGCTTCATTGCATTAGCCGGGTGTGGTGGTGGGTGCCTGTAGTCCCAGCTACTCAGGAGGCTGAGGCAGGAGAACGTCGTGAACCTGGGAGGCAGAGCTTGCAGTGAGCCAAGATTGCGCCACTGCACTCCAGCCCGGGCGACAGAGCGAGACTCTGTCTCACAAAAAAAAAAAAAAAAAAAAAAATACTTCATTGCTAAAAAGTGCTAACAATCACCGAGCCTTCAGCAAGTCAACCTTTCTTCTGATGGAGGATCTTGCCTCCACATTGATGGCTGTTGGCTGATCAGGATGGTGGGTGTTGAAGGTTAGGGCGGCTGTGACAATTTATTAAAACAACAGTGAAGTTTGCCACATTGATTGAATCTTTTTTAGGAAAGATTTTTCCGTAACATACGATGCTATTTGATAGCATTTGACCCACAGTAGAACGTCTTTCAAAATTGGAAACTCTGCCACTGTTGAATCTACCAAGTTTATGCAATATTCTAAATTCTTTGTTGTTATTTCAACAACGTTCACAGCATCTTCACCAGGAGTGGATTCCATCAAAAGAAACCACTTTCTTTGCTCATCCATAAAAAGCAACTCCTCTTCTGTATAAGTTTGATCATGAGATTATAGCAATTCAATCAGATCTTCAGGCTCAATTTCTAATTCTAGTTCTCTTGCTATTTCTACCATATCTGCAATACTTCCTCCAGTGAACTCTTGAATCCCTCAGAGTCATCCACGAGGGTTGGAGCCACCTTCTAAATTTCTGTTAAGTTTATATTTTAACATCCTCTCATGAATCATAAACGTTCTTAATGGCATCTGGAATGATGAATCCCTTCCAGGCTTCCAATTTTATCTGCCCAAATCCATCAGATGAATCTCTATGTATGGCGGCTATAGCCTTACAAAATGTATTTCTTAAATAATAAGACTTAAAAGCCAGAAATACTCTGATTCATGGGCTACAGAATGAATGTGGTGTTAGCAGGCATGAAAACAACAGTAATCTCCTTATATATTTCTGTCAGAGCTCTTGGGTGATGAGATGCGTTGTCAATAAGCAGTAATATTTTGAAAGGAATGTTTTTTGTCTCAGAACTAGTACTCAACAGTGGGCTTAAAACAGTCAGTAAACCAGGGAGGCTGAGGCAGGAGAATGGCGTCAGCCCGGGAGGTGGAGTTTGCAGTGAGCCAAGATCGTGCCACTGTACTCCAGCCTGGGCAACAGAGCGAGACTCCGTCTCAAAAAAAAAAAAAGTCAGTAAACCATACTGTAAACAGATGTGCTGTCATCTAGGCTTTGTTCTGCTGTTAGAGCACAGGGAGAGTAGTTTGGCATAATTTTTAAGGGCCCTAGGGTTTTCCAAATGATCAATAAGCATTGGCTTCAACTTAAAGCCACCAGCTGTGTTAGCCACTAGCAAGAGTCAAGCCTATCCTTTGAAGCTTTGAAACTAGGCATTGACATCCTCTCTCTAGCTATGAAAATTCTGGATGGCATCTTCTTTTATTAGAAGGCTGTTTCATCTGTATTGAAAGTGTGTTGTTTATCGTAGCCACTGTCATCTGTTGTCTTACCTAAATAACTTGCTGGCTAACTTGGTATAGCTTCACTCCATCAGCACTTGCTACTTCACCTTGCACTTACCGCGTGGAGATAGCTTCTTACCTTAAACCTCATGAACCAGCCTCTGCTAGCTTCCAGTTTTTCTTCTGCACCTTCCTCACCTCTGTCAGCCTTCATAGAATTGAAGAGAGATAGGGCCTTGCTCTGGATTAGGCTTTTGCTTAAGGGAGTGTTGTAACTGCTTTTGTCTTCTATCCAGACCACTCTGACTTTCTTCATATCAGCAGTAAGGCTGTTTTGCTTCTTAATCGTGTGTTCTCTGAAGTGGCACTTTTACTTTCTTTCAAGAACTTTTTCTTTGCATTCACTACTTGGTTCACTGTTTGGTTCAAGAGGCCTAGCTTTCAGCCTGTCTCGGCTATTGACATGCCTTCCTCACTAAGCGTAATCGTTTTTAGCTTTTCATTTAGAGTGAAACAGGTGTGACTCTTCTTTCATTTTAACTCTTAGGGGCCATTGTAGGGTTATTATCTGGCCTAATTTCAATGTTACTGTGTCTCCAGGGAAAGTAGGGCAATTGATGAGTGTAATTTTTGTCTCTTTCCTATATTATTACCCCCACGGCACTAAAACATTTTGAAGCAGGCTATGTTTGTATCCCCAGTATTTATCAGTTTCTGGCACACAGTTGAGACATCCACTGTTCAACATTTGAATAAGTGAATTAAAGTGGATTAAGTATATTTGGAAGGCTAAATAATGGACTCCAGAGGTGTCCAGGTCCTAATCCCTGGAATTTGTGTACACTCCCTCATGGCAAAAGAGACTTTGCAGTTGTGGTTAAGTTAGGGATCTTGAGATAGGGAGATATCCTGGATTATCCAGGCGGGACCTGGCTGGGACCTAAATGCAATCACAGGTGTCCTTATAAGGAGGAAAACAGAGGGAAATTTGACTACAGAAGAGAAAGGCAATGTGACCACTGAAACAAGATGCTAGGCTGCTTGCTGTGAAGATGGAGGAAGGGCCATGAGCCAAGAAACGTAACGAATGTAGGTCTAGAAGCTGGAGAAGGCAAGGAAATGGATTTTTCCTCTAGAGCTGCCCAGGGGAATGCAGTCACTCCAGAACCTTGATTTTTGCTTATTGAAACTGACTTCTGAGCTCCAGAGCTGTGTGCAGTAAATGGAGTTGTTTTAAGCCAGAAGTTTTTAGAAATTTGGAAATTTGTTACAGCGGTAGGACATGATAGGTCTCTTGCCATGTAAGTTCCAATAGATATATAAGTTCTCAGTTTTATAAATACTTCAAGAAATTGTATTGCTCCGGTCACTGAGAGAAATGCCTGCTGCAGCCTCCAAGATGCTTCACACTGTCTTATCACTTCCTGGCATGAAATGAGCTACCTCCTTGTTTTTATTTCGATATTCCTGCTTGAGGTCAGATATAACCATTACTTTTGGACAATACCAGAGGAGTCTACTTTTAGGTCAGTGATTCAAGAACAGTTTATTACGCACCTGTCATTTATTAGGCACTACAACACTAGGGCCTTGGGATGCAAAATTGGAAGGATTTGGCCTTTTTGGAGGTGAGGGGAGTATTTCCAGTGGAAATGATGTTTGGATTGAGTCTTGAATCATGAGTAAGAAGAATGTCAAGTGAAGAAAAGTGGAAGACATTCCAGGCAGAGGGAGCAGGATTGGTTCCATGAACGGTGGAGTGTGCTTCCCTAGACCTTTGTGAGTCAGGGGATTTGTGAGAGAAGAGCCTGGAGGAAGCTTGGGATGATATCACTGAGGAATGTAAAGGAGAAGATGGGTAAGTAGTTGGAAAGATAGAAGATAGACATTCATATAAGTATAAAGACAGAGACAGAATCAAGCTGGAGTCTTGAGAAACACTCATGCTGTAAGGAGAGGCCAGAGGAGGAGCCATGCCAGACACCCAGAATGAAAGACCAGAAAGCAATCTCACCTGGAAGGGAGATGCCATAGTAGTGGAGGAGTAGAGGGCCCCAGCCAAGAAGTGAGTGGCCACTAGTGTCATATAGCAGACAGCTCTGGCAGGAGGAGACCTGGAAGATAGTTGAATTTGGCAACAAGACCTTGAGTGGAGCTATAGCATGGCAGAAAGTTTGATGCAGATTGAGGATTAAATAGTAATTAAGGAAACAGTAATGAGAGAGAAGGATGATGACTTGAGGAATAGGTACTGTCCCCACTGACAGGCTGTGGGGGAGTGAAATGGTCATGGCGTCTGTCTGTGCAGAAGGCCCCGGTCCATTTGCAAGGACCACTGGCCCTTCCCCCCATCGACTCTGCCTCCCTCCAGTTTTTAAAACTGAAGGTATATTTTATGTACAGTAAAATTGACTTTTCTAAAATGTGCACTTCTGAGAGTTTTGAGAAGTAAATATGGTGTTACCATTGCCACAATCAGTGTAGAATAGCTTTGTGACCTCAGAACGTTCTCCCATGCCTCCTCTGTAGTTGGCCCTTTGCTCTCCCTTCCAGCCCCTGGCAGCCATGGCTCTGTTTTCTGTCCTTGTGGCACCTGCTGAGTATGAGAGCAGTACACATATGATCATTTTATGTTGTCATGTATTAGAATTAGTGATTTGATTTTCTTAATCTGGGGCTCTCTATCTTACCATAAAAGGTAGTTTTATGTATTTACTTTTGTACTCCCTACAATAATTTGAAATTCTTTTGGATCTTGTTATGGGGCTCATCAAATACCAAATATAGAATTGAGTATTTTTGCAAGTAACTTTTTGAAATGTGTTATAAGAAGGAAGCTTTTGTCTTATGACTGTTGTATTTTTGTGTGCTTTGTTAATATTTTTCTTAATGCATTTGGCTTATGATGCATTTGGCCCATTGAGGGAAAAACGAAAGTTATTGTCAGCATGGTTAACTAACTGCAACTGAGAGTATTCCAAAATGATTTAGTTTTAAGTTTAAAAATGCATTTTCCATTGGATCTACTGCCATGGGTCCAGTAATCACTAATGCCAGCTTAATATAGTGACAGTATACTACTTAGTTTAGTAGTCTGAAGTAGACAATTAACTTTTAGTCTTTCATTGAATATCTTTTTTTTTTTTTTTGCCTGCTTCTGGATCAGCTCTTCTTAAAACCAGATCTTTGTTTATGTATGCTTAATGTCACTGGAGCTTTTTATGTTTGTAATAGTTACCTTAGCCATTATCAGTACACAATACAGCCATGCATCGCTTAAGAACAGAGATATGTTCTGAGAAATGTATCCTTAGGCAATTTCATCATTGTGCAAATGCTGTAGAGTGTGCTTACAGAAACCTAGATGGGATAGCCTGTACGTCTGTGGTATTGCATATTACTCCTAGGCTACAAACCTGCACAGCATGTTACTGTACTGAATACTGTAGGCAGTTGTAACACAGTGGTAAGTATTTTTGTATCTAAACATAGAAAAGGTATAGTAAAAATACTGTATGAAAGATCAAAAGTGGTACACCTGTATAGGGCACTTACCATGAATGGAGCTTGCAGGACTGACTAAAATCCGCTCTGCGTGAGTCAGTGATTGAGTAGTGAGTTAATGTAGGACATTATGCTACTGCAGACTTTATAAACACTTTACATTAGGCAACACTACGTTTATAAAAAAATTTACTTAATAATTAACCTTAGCTTACAGTAACTTTTCTACTTTATAACTTTATTTTTTTAACTTTTTTACTCTTTTGTAATAACATTTAGCTTAATGCACACATTGTACAATTGTACAAAAATGCTTTCTTTGTATCTATTATTTCTCATTCTGTAAGCTTTTTTCTACTTAAAAGAATTTACTTTTCTGAACTTTTTTTTGGCTTTGAGTAATATGTTGGATTCCCATGTAATGACATCTGTAACATCACTAGACAATAGTAGTTTTTCAGCCTCATGATAATCTCATGGGACCACCATTGGTATATGTGTTGCGTCGCTGACCAAAGCAGCATTATGCAGCATAAGGGATTTATTACCCACTAAAACAAATAGGCTAGTTTCCTTTTGTGCAAGTCTAGGACTATATACCATATCAATAATTCACCTTTCATCTTTTTTTTTTTTTTTTTGAGACGGAGTCTTGCTCTGTCACCCAGGCTGGAGTGCAGTGGGGTGATCTCGGCTCGATGCAAGCTCCACCTCCCAGGTTCACGCCATTCTCCTGCCTCAGCCTCCCGAGTAGCTGGGACTATAGGCACCTGCCACCACACCTGGCTAATTTTTTTTGTATTTTTAGTAGAGCCGGGATTTCACCATGTTAGCCAGAATGGTCTCGATCTCCTAACCTCGTGATCCGCCCGCCTCGGCCTCCCAAAGTGCTGGGATTACAGGCGTGAGCCACCGTGCCCGGCCCCCACCTTTCATCTTTTAAAATAGTTTACTTGCTGCTTCTACCCCTGACTCTAAAGGGAAATAATGTCAGTACTAATCCCATTTGGTTGCAAACAGCAAATAGGTAAATGATTTGCCTTTTGAAGGTCTAGCCAGTATTCATTAGTGGCTTTGGATAGTGTGTGTTCTGAGTGATTCAGGTGCTGTTTTCCTTTGCTGATCTCTTTCTGTTTTCTACTTTCTCAGCAACGTTTCTTATTCCTTCAGAAATCATTGTGGCAAGCATTGGCATAACCAAAAGCCTTTGGAATACCTATAGGTTTCCTTCAAGTTTGCAGATGTTCCCTGTATTATGTTTCTTTGTAGCCAAAACCTTAAGTCAGGGTGAAAAAAAATCGATTTTTTGAGGCTACACCTGGGAGAATGGACCTGGCAGCAGTTCATTAAGAAATAAATGAATAACACCTGGAGGTTTGCGTTTACCACCTGCTCACATGAATGATTGGTGTGATGGGGCTGCTAAAAATAGATAAATTTTTAAGCTGCATTAATAAGCATTTGGGTAATTGTTCCCACTATTTTGTGTATTGGACCATATCTTGAATGTTGTGTTAAGTTCGGGTCATTTCAGAGGAAACATTTAAAAAGTTTGAAAGTTGCAATGAGATACTTTGGCTGCTTTTAACAGAGCTCACAGACAAGAAACCAGCAGTCTAAAGGGAGTTGCTCACAGAGCAGTAAGCTTCATGTCATTTGAAGGGTTCAGAATAGAGTATTTGCTTCATAAGTAGCGGCTATTTTCTGGAATGTTCTCCCCATGTTCCCATGGCTGAAACAATGCCCACACATAGTGATTGCACATACGAGGAAGAGACAAATGTGACCATCTCTTAGGAAAGATGTCCTGGAGGGATCCGTGTGTTAGATGGACAGTATGGCCTCAGGTGCCACCCTTTCCATGTAGATGGACCAGTGATTTTATGTGAAAGCAATGATTAGCTGATGACATTTTAAACCAAGTTATAGGATTTGTGGATAAAATTTGACTTTAGAAACTAACTGACCTTTTGTGTATTTTCTGTTGCTAAATTGTGCCCTGGACTTTATGAACATTATAAGCTTTATAAACATTATGCTGTTTTAGCGACATTGTAATGAAAAGGCGATCTTAGCTACACCACTGATCACCAAGATTAATCTGGCTGGCTTGTGTGGCTACTTAGGTCATCTCTGGTGCCCTCATTCGGTAAAAGATGATGACTTTCCCAGACGGAGGGAAACTGTTTTCAATATTGATTCTACAAGTAGCCATGTTCCTCTTTTGACAGTTTCTAAGAATGACAATACCTCTTTCTGATGATGCTATTCACATGATCACAAAATAACAATTTTGGGTTAGGGAGGCTTTTGCTGTTCATGAACTAGTGAAAAGCAGAATGAGAGGAGGAAGTAATTGAAAATGAGATGTAGGCGTGCATCCGAACTGGAAACCAGAAGACTTGATGAAACAGATACAAGGAAATCACTGTGTATGAGCTATGTGGTATTTCTTCAGAGATTTGATACACAAACTGAGAGATATCCATCCTGCTCTTTGTTCCTTTTTCATTCTTTTGATGCCACCCTCTCTCTTCCATTATAGAGCACCAAAACTACTTTGGAATAGATGAAAACCTTGGTCCAGTAGCAGTCAGCATCCGGAGAGAGAAGGTGGAAGATGCCAAGGAGAAAGAAGGATCCCAGTTCAACTACAGGGTGGCTTTCAGGACAAGTGAGGTAATGGGGCTGCTTGCCGTAGTTATTGGGCTAAAGTCTAAACCTCCTTTGGTGTTACTGCTTCAGTTTGTTTTAGATAGGGTACTGAATTTATTTTTTTTTAATGTTAATGATTGCAACATTTAAGATAATTAAAAAGGGCATTGCAGTATTTTATTCTAAATGAAAAATTTGGAAACATGCCATGGATATTAAGTGGCTGTATTAGTTCATTCTCACACTACTATAAAGAACCACCTGAGACTGGGTAATTTATGAAGAAAAGGTTTAATTGACTCACAGTTCCGCAGGCTTAACAAGAAACCTGACTGGGAGGCCTCAAGAAACTTACAATCATGACGGAAGGTGAAGTGGAAGCAAGCACATCTTATCATGGTGGACCAGGACAGAGAGAGAGTAAAGGGGGAAGGGCCACACACTTTTAAACCATCAGATCTTGTGAGAACTCACTCACTGTCATGAGAACAGCAAGGGGAAAATTCAACCTCTGTGATCCAATCACCCCTACGAGGCCTCTTCTCCAATTTGACATGAGATTTGGGCAGGGACACAAATCTAACCCATATCATTTTGCCCCCGGCCCCTCCCAAATTTTATTTCCTTCTCACATTGCAACAATTATTCCTTCTCAGCAGTCCCCTAGTCTTAACTCACTCCAGCATTAACTCAGAAGTCCACAGAACAAAGTCTCATCTGAGACAAAGCAAGTCCCTTCCGTTGATGAGCCTGTAAAATCAACAACAGGTTAGTTACTTCCAAGATGCAGTGGGGGTACAGGGATGGGTAAATGTTCCTGTTCCAAATGGGAGAAATTGGCCAAAACGAAGAGGCTACAGGCCCCATGCAAGTCCAAAACTCAGCAGGACAGTCATTACTACCCACGCTTTGTTACATTGAGGACCCAGGTTAGATTCTTGCTTGTCTTGCTTTTAGTGGAAAGTGAGATTCTTGTATAAATTATACAACATGTATAGCTAAATAGGTAGATATTGATTTATATAAAGAATTAAGTCTGAAGCTGGGCATGGTGACACATGCCTATTGTCCCAGCTACTCAGGAGGCTGGGGTGAGAGCATGGCTTGAGCTCAGGAGTTGAGGCTGTAGGGCAGTATGGTTACACCTGTGAATAGGCCCTGCACTCCAGCCTGGGCAATATAGCAAGACCCTATCTCTTAAAAAAGAAAAGAATTAGATCTGTCCAGCACTTTAGGTTTTATCCTTTTAGCTCATTTTAATTAGAGGGATATATATTTGGGAGATATTCCAGAATATGTATTTTGGTTAACTGCTTCTAGATCAGAGAAAACACAGAGCCCTTTTCTAGTTTCCAGCTGCATGAACATGTGTACCCCTGTTCATCTTATCTAGTACGTAGGTGTCCCAGTGACCTAGGCTCTATTCTAGGTATAAGTGAGATAAAGCCCCTCTCCTAAAGTGACATATTTTAAGTTATAGACCTATGCTGTTCAGTTCAGTAGTCACTAGCCACAGGTGGCTACTTAAATTAAATTTAAATACTTAATTTAATTTAAATGTTAAATTTAAAATAACTGAACAAAATTAGAAATCCTTTTCCTTAGTGACATTAGTGATTTCGAGTGTTTAATAGTTGATGTGGCTAGGGGCTCCTGTATTAGTATAGATAGAGAACATTGTCCTCGTTGCAGATAGTTCTGTTGTCCAGTGTTATGGAACATTATGCAAACGTTAGGTATCCTTATGACTGCCATCACCCCAGCTCCTGGTGTTAGTAGTCTAAGGACTCTTACCAGAGTCAGAGAGAGGTTGGATTAGAACCAGTTCTCTTGATTTATGGTTCTGGGGTTTTCTCTCTCATCATATTAGATCTTAGGCACGTGCTCCAAATATTCATTGCATGTTTCTGTGGTGAATTTGAGGACATCTAAAAAGTCATGAGACAAAATTTAGTGGCAATTTTCTCAGCCCTGAATCACCCTGCCCATGGATACCACTGGCTGCTGCTCCCCTGTTCAGCCTCGGGAATGGTCATTATGGAAAATTAAATGTAAGATAAGAAAGGGAGTGGAAGAAAAGAAGATGGAGAGATGGGAGAAAGGGAGGATGGAAGAAGGGTGATCATGGTCAGGTCCAGGATCATCATGTCTGGTTTCCTCTCTGTGTGAACCTTCTCATGTGGGTTCAGAGTTGTAGGAATGTCCTAATTTTCATAGCATTGCTCTGCCTTGCTTCTTCTCATTCTTAGGCATACATCTGCTCATTTCCATTCCGCCTGGCTTGTTCCTGATCTTTGTATACTGTTACTGTTTAAAGACTCCTTGAGTGTTGATTTTGTTTCCTTAAATGGAACACTGTCGCCCCTTTCACTACACTCAGAAAGAGCCTTGCTTCTCTTTTTCCTGTCTTAAGGCAGCCAAACAGTTAGGCTGTGAGTAGGTAATTGAGAATCAATATTAACCGAAGTCTTATGTTTTGTCACTGCAGCTTACAACACTGAGAGGAGCAATTTTAGAAGATGCTATACCCTCTACTGCTAGGCATGGTACCGCACGAGGACTACCTCTCAAAGAAGTTTTGGAATACGTCATTCCAGAGCTGAGCATTCAGTGTTTGCGACAGGCTTCCAACTCACCCAAGGTCTCAGAGCAGCTGCTCAAGCTTGATGAACAAGGGGTGTGTATAATGTGAGATTGTATGTTTGTGTGTGAATTTGTGTCTGTTTCTGAAAGTTTTGGAGTTTTCCCATCCATCTTTCTTGTAAGATCATTTATTTTAAATGCCTTAGAACATTTTCTCTTTAGTTTTTCCCAAATATGTTTTTATACTAGTTTGGAAACATGATGCCATTATAGTATAACACACCTCCTGCTGAGTTGTGATTTTTTTTTGTTATTACCAAGGTTTTGGTGTGTCCCAGCTTGCAAGAGTGCATCTGATTGCATGATTAATAGAAGTCAATAGTAGTTTTTTTCCAGGGTTTAAAAATCTCTTATGGCCCTTTTCCTGAACCAACATTTATTCTTGTCTACTATGTGGAAGGCATCATGCTGACAGATGGGTGTGAACAGCAAGCGTTAGGAAGATTGAAGCTGACTAAGACCTAGTCCCTGGCCTATGAGGACAGTAAGACTAAGAGCAGAAAGGCCTCTCCAAGGCAGAATCTGGTAAGAGATCTTGGAGAGGTGTAAATGTAGTGAGTACCTTGGGGAAAGAAGAAATAACATCTGGCTGGGCAACTCTCCTGAAGAGGTGGCATTTTAACTAGGCCTTTGGACTTGGATAGAATTCTAAGAGGGAGACATGAGTAGTTGCTGTTTTAGGAACTATGACTAGTTTCTTTACAAAGAGAAGAGAGGTGGTGAGGTGGGGTGGGGTAGGGGAAGTAAGACGAGACTAGAACAAATGAGACCTGGTATGCTAGGCCAAGGAGATTGCCCTTGATTCAGGAGGCAGTGGGGAGCCATTGAAGGTTTTCCATTAGGATGTGACGTGATCAGAGCTGTATTTTAGGAAGATTATTCTGGTAGAAGGGAATTGTACAGGCCGCCGAAGATAGAGACTGATGGCTATGTGGAGATCAATTATGTGATTATTGACATTGTCCAGGAGAGAGTTAATGATGAACAGGATTGAGATGGTGGTTCAGAATATGGAAAAAAGGTCTTTAAGTTTCAGGTGCAAAATAACTCATAGAGGAAACTGAGCAGTACATGCTCAAGTGCATGCAACTTATTTTAAACCAGTGGATTTGTTTGTAAAGCCATGATTTTAAAAAGACAGTGACAATGTATATTTTTAGAATTTCCCAAGTAGGATTCTTCTGCATGTTTTAGAGGGAATATGAGGTATTTCTTGGTTGACCAAATAATACTGTGGTTAAAGTTGAATATTTGGCACCGCAGATGGCTAGAATTCTAAAAGTGATGAAACTAATTGGTCTAACAAGTTAACACTGCATTATTAGCAAAAAGAAGCAGATATTGTAACACTCAGAATGAATAATCTTGAGATCTGTCTCAGGAATGAAAGCTGACATATTAAAAAAAAAAAACCATACTCTAAACTTGAGCAGGTGACTTTTAAATTGCGTAATACACAGAATAGGTTTACCATTATGACTGGTAAAGTATGTGGAATATATGAAATGTTCATGAAACATATATATGAACAATATATGAAGTGTTCATGAAACAGTTGATGAAAACATGTTATGGCGGGATAGAGAGGATACATCGGGGTGGGTTGAAAGTGCTTAAAGTTCAGGCAGGCTTGATGAGAAGAATAGCATTCATTTGCATGTTGTAAGAGAGTTGGTGAAAAGAACTTGCCACCCATGTGGTAGGTAGTTCTTGATCCCTTTGTAGGATATGTCAGTTCTCCCTTTAAAATATATCACTGTACTACAGAGCAGGTGCCTGGTGGATGAAGCTCTCATTTGGTCCCCCGAGGCTGCTCTAGAAAGTTTTACAGATGGTTCATGTTCCCCAGAAGCCCTCAGGGCTCTGCCACTGCCACCATTTAGGGCTTCTTTTACCGAGCAGTGAAAAGAGACATCATGGCAGCTACAAGTTGACTGATGTAACCATCAGTCTCTATCCTCATCAGCCTATTTTAGGCATCAGTGAATGTGGCTACCTTTCTTCTACTAGAAGAATCTTCCTAAAATATAGCTCTGATCTGCCACATCCTAATGGAAAACTTTTGATGGCCCCCTATTGTCTTCTGAATCAAGTGCAAGCTCCTTTCGAATGTCTTTGTAGTCAGATAGATCTAGAAGCTATCCGAGGCAGTTCTAAAAACCAGGCATTTTAAGTATTTTTGCTGAACACCTATTTACAGTCTGATGTCAATGAATGTATTTAGAAAATGGGATTCTGCTTTGATAAAACCACGCATTTCGTATCTCTAGTAGTAGTTCATGGGCTTTTCTTTAGATTTTATATTTGTTTGACTTTGGTATACTTTCTTAACGATGTTCAAACTTAAGCACACTGTGCCATTTTAACTCCCTAAAACTCTTAATGGTATCAGATTCCCATTGTACATGAGGAAAACATACTGTTTATGTTCATCTTTAAAAGAGATTGGGCAACTTTTTTAACATCCCAGTTTCCAAAGAATCCTTACAAATCGCCACTAACCTGTTAGGGTGGTGGAGAGTTTATTCCAAGCGGTGCTGTTTCTTTATTCATTTTCCTAATAGTAAATCTTCCCAGGAAGGGATGGGGCAATTTTGTTATTGGTCTAAGGGTTTGTTAATCTTGAAATTATATTTAAAATACAACCTAATAATGGGCTGGGCGCGGTAGCTCATGCCTGTAATCTCAGCACTTTGGAAGGCCAAGGTGGGTGGATCATTTGAGGTCAAGAGTTCAAGACCAGCCTGGCCAGCATGGTGAAAACCCATCTCTACTAAGTATACAAAAATTAGCCAGGTGTGATGGTGGGCACCTGTAATCTCAGCTACTAGGGAGGCTGAGGCAGGAGAATCACTTGAACCGGGAGGCAGAGGTTGCAGTGAGCCAAGATCGCACCACTGCACTCCAGCCTGGGCGACAGAGTGAGACTCTGTCTCAAAAAAATATGTGTGCGTGTGTGTGTGTGTGTGTGTGTGTGTGTGTGTGTGTAACCTAATTACATATATTGTTAGTTTCCGCTCTTTTGTAGTTTGCAGTCCATCCTGGTTTGTCATGTAACCACTGAGTATATGTACTCTGTACAAGACACTTTTCAGAAGTAGGAGATACTGTGGGTGTTTAGATCATTCCTTCTGTTCCTTCAGTTTGGTTAGATGTTTTGAGAAGGAAGAGTCAAACACTGTGGAGAATTTTCAGGAAAGTAATTATTAAACAAGACGTTTTGCTACTTTATCTACATAATTTCACGTCTGCAGTTCTAAAATCCCATTTTTCCTTTTTAAAAAGGCTATCCCAATGTATTTAATAGGTAAACTCATAAAATTATAGAGGATGACTGTAAACAAAGTGTTATTTAGACGAATTATGACAGCTCACTATCTTAGAATATTATGAAATCCTTAACAGAGTTATTCATTGGTTCTTAAGGCCAACTGCCCCATTCCCCTCTTGTCCTCTCACCCCAGATATATATGTTTACTCAAATATCAGATTTGTTTCAACCGAAGTCAAGCAGGTCTAAATAAATGAGATTACATGCTTAGAACAAGTAGTCTGAGTCAGGAGAATGGAGGGGAAGGGATTTATTGCACACTCAAAGATATGCTCGAGACAATTCTGAGGCTTTGTTTTCTTCTCACCTTCATTTGAATGTAAATTTTCTTGTCAATAATAACAAAGCTTCTGGCCTTGGAAATAGAGCAGCCAGTTTTTATCCTGTCTCAGAAAGAAAATGGGACGTGGGTTGGATCCTCTGCTGTCTGGGCAGTATGTATGTGTGTCCAGCTGTCAGCACTGAAGCCATAGGGAATTTTGACAAGTGGATATTTTTAGTTTGCAGCAGTGCTTATGTCCAAATGCAAGCCTAGTTCTATCCCAGGACTGTGGGACTGGCACAGCTCTTATCAAACAGTTAAATAAAGGTTGCTGCAATAGACTTAAATGTTAGGCTTAGCTTGAGATTTAATGAAGCCTTGGTCTGAGAGAATGAGGAATGTTAAGTGTATGGAATCTGGAGTCCCTCCTTTACTTTATATTATGATGGAGCTGAAGAAGTATGTTGCTAGCCTTCTGATATACCCCGGGAGTATTTAGTTGATACCACATTTCAGTTGTTTTCCAGGTTTCTGAAAGAGACTCTGGTGAGAGAGATATCTTTACTGAACATTTCATTCTGTTTCATTATTCATTTCATTCTTGTTTTACTGGAATCAGCCCTTGTTGTAAACAAGCCACAATTCTTTACTCTGAGTCACTGGAGAGATTTCTGTCTCCTAAGTTTCACCTGGCAAACTGATCAAAAGTAGGCATGACTGGCAAATACCTGTGAGTGGTAAACTTGTGTCACTCCATGTGTGTAGCAAGGTGTTTTCTTTGGAGCCAGAGTATGGCAGCTGTCCTAAGACATCTGAGGGCCTTGAAATCTGCTTTAGTCACATCCACTGATTCCCATGGGCCCAGGAGCTTCTTAGATGGAAATGCAAATCCTGTTCTAGATCCTGTTAGGATCTAGACACAGGCTGGTGTGTCCGATGGCTGGGAAGAGAGGGGTGTGAAGTTGACAGTACAACAGTCAGCAATGAGGTCTCATGAAATTTCAGTTGTCCAGTTGTTTGGCCTTTGCCTGAATGAGAGTTCACAAGAAATAGCAAGCCCACAAGGCTCTCCGAGTCAGAGAGGAAGTGAGCCAGGCTGGTGACGGCTCTGCTTGACATACCATGCACACCCTCGGCTCCCAAACAGCTCTACTCCAGGACTCCTCATTTAAGAGCTGGATGGGAGGAGAGGAAGGGGTTTCCTCTTGCAGATGCCAGAGCAGACTGAGGCAAGCTGCCTTTGCGTGCTGGGGCAATGGAGACAAAGATGGCCTTCAGATGATGTGGCACATGGCACTGGCAATGGTCTCAGGTGAGCAGGAGGTAAAGGAATAGAGGATGGGCGAACAGGGACAGCAGCCACCAGAGCAGAGTGACCTCCGAGGATGAGGATGATGGTGCAGCAATTCTACTGGGTGCAGAGGAAGCAGTGGACACTGAGATGCACAGGCACTGGAGTGAGTTAGTATTCTTCGGTATTAACGGTGGACTCTAATTACAGCCAGGGCCAAATAACCAGGGAGCTGAAATCCTCTTCTCACAGTGAAAGAGAAGTCAACTAACATCGTTGTCCATGATGGGAAGTGGTCATTTTCAGGCCACATTTTAGTATTCATATAGATTCCAACAATCACAGATGTCACGAACATCTGTGTAATAATTGGTGATCATAATAGTTTCTCTAATGCACTTTAAGACCCTGAAATGTCTTCTGAGTCACTCAGGAGCAAATAATGTTTACAATAAAATGAGGTTAGGCATTTTTATTGTACTTAATATTTTTTTGAAGATGATTGTCTATTCTCAGTAAATGTGGTATCTCATTGACTTAGATAATTGAGTTGATCAGAAACATTGATTCCTCAATCTCTGGGTGAATACAAATTTTTCTTCTTGACCCTACTAAAGTAGTAGCTCAATAAATTCATAATGTTAGGTATTGAGTAGTGTATGCACACCATCTCATATCCCCACACTCAAGGTACAGATCATTTTTCTCGCTATGCAGTTGGGGATCTCCTGGCCTTGACAGGGTCCCAAGGCCCATGAACTGCAATGCCATAGCATCCATCGGTATAGGTAGCTGATTCAGTCAGATTGTAAACAGGTGATATTTCCTTTTATAGCCTTCTCATAGCACTTAGTCAAGATCGGAATGCATTCAGAATATATGGGTAGTTGACTCTACCTGCTCAACTCTAAGTTTATCCAGCATGTGGTAAATGTTTCCTGATGTCTGCTGAGGTCACCCAGGCAGACGTTGCATGCCTTTCTTGCATAGTATGTTGTCATTAGGTAATAATATGGATGAGACTGCTGTCATCACTTTGCTGCTCAAGGGAAATGAGTATCATTTTGCCTTATTTTACTAAGATAGCTATGAATTTTGATTAAAGGTTCTGTTTTACAGCTTGATAATAAAAGTGAACAGTGTTGTGGATTGATGTCTTTAGAGAATTGGCGATGTCTGATAATCTGTCAGCCTTTCAGGCTCAGATTGCTGGTAGTAAGATTAAGAGCTCTGATTGCATGAGTTAGAAGCAGTTCCTCTTTGGGGGACATAAGAAAGGTGTGAAAATGCCTCCAGTTTCTTACTGGCCTTGGGAGGAAGTCCCATGGCTTCCAACATGAACCTGGCATTGACTGTAAGATAGGATTACAGCAGGAGCTCCTCAATTGCTATTGGATTCTTTGTGGTACACTGTATATTTAGCAGATGTTTTCAAGATAGTAAAAAATGTAACAAATGAATGTAATCGTAAGCCAGAGTTACTTTTTTATGGCAACAAAACATTTTAATGTTTGTATACATATATCATAATTTCCATTGGAATCCTACCCTTACCAGACCTTAATTTGATTTGTTTTTTCCTTATAGTCTTACATATTTACAAGAAATATATAAAATTCAGATAAAGAAATAAAAGGTATTACTACAGAGAAAAACTTAAAGGTTTGTAGCCTTTTTTTCTTTCCGACTTAGAAGATTACCCTAATTACTATATGAAGTGTGTAAGATGAAGTATTTCCACAGTTCTATTTTTAAGTAGATACTTGAACCTTGACTTCCTATCCTTTTTGGAAACCTGGCAAATCCCAAATGGCCACAGCCATACATTTAATTTGTTAGGGTTTCTGACATGTCTCCAGCTGTATTCTGGGGTTTCTGGGTTATTATTTGTAGCATCTTTCACAGTGGCAGTTGCCTACTCTTTTGCTTATTCACTTATGGGAATTGTTCTGGCATGCTTTCCTAGAACAATTCTCAGCTTCTGTAGTTTTAATTTTACTGGAAGTTAGCTTGTCTGATATGCTTTGCCAAGTAATTATATTTCTCCCCCATTTCAGCTGAGCTTTCAGCACAAGATCGGGATCCTTTATTGCAAAGCAGGCCAGAGCACAGAGGAAGAGATGTATAACAATGAGACGGCGGGACCAGCTTTTGAAGAATTCCTTGATCTTCTGGGCCAGAGAGTCCGACTGAAAGGATTTAGTAAATATCGAGCTCAGCTAGACAATAAGAGTAAGTTTAATGTTTGTGTGTGTGCACATTTTTAATTCTCCAAAGGTAGGCATGCTTCATAAATCCAAGTAAGTGATCACATGCCCTCCTGTTCCCGGCCCCAGAAGCAGCCTAGAAAGCTTATTTGGAATAGAGTTTAGATTTCCTCAGATGAACAAAGGAAACACATTTCTCAAGAGGTATGTGCTTCACCTTGTAAGCTCAAAGGGTCAATTCTTTTTCCTTTGTAACACCAGCAGAGAGATTCCCCAGTGTTTCATGAAGAATTGTTTAATATTTTCTTCTTTCTTTTACCCTAACCTCTTCTATTACACCCTTGTTTCAGTATACCAAGGACAAGCACTGCATTTATTTCTAAGAGACAAAATATTAACACATCCATTCATGCTGTGTTATTGGGCTTATTTTGTTCATTTCCAGATTCATGATGTTAACCAGGGAGGTGGAACAGTGATTAAAAAGCGAATGCATCTTCACACAATATCCCCTTATAACAGACTTGCACATGTACCCCCTGGATCTAAAATTAAAAAAAAAAAAAAGCTGATGCATCTTATTTTTCAAGGATTTTATTTAGATCCCCTTGAGTGGGACACCTACTAGCTGTACAGTGGCGGATTGACTGACCAATCCAAAACATGGGCTTTATGCCCTCCTAGGATGCATGAATTTGTCTAATATCTACACATAGATAATCATGTTTCTCATGATGTCTGTAAGTTCTATATATTTTATCTTTGTGCTGTTATTTAGTTGCTATGAGTATCTGAAATAGCAGGCAGAGTAATTTGATGCATATTGGAAAATTCTGCTTATTATCAAACAACTAAGTGCTTGCTCTTTGAACGAAAAGAGATGAACAGATAGTCTAAACTTGGAGGATCTGAAGGAGCTTCTTGCCCCAACTCCCAGTAGGAATGGTGAAGTGGAAGTTTTCTGTGTGGGAGCGTCAGGGTGTGGCCGAGCTGGGATTGGAACTGAGGTGGCCTGATGCCGTGTCTTCCTGCCTTCTATTCTCCTTGGTCACCAAGCCCTGTCCCCAAGTCTGCTCAACTTGGGACTGTCACTGATACTCCATCTGGATGAGGGTGGTGCCTATAGTCAGTTCTGTTTTTAGACCTGTTTTTGAAAGTAGCAGTTACAGGATAGTTCACAAGCCTCTGCGATGGTGTAAACTCACACATGGGCCCCCTAGTTGTCCACTACACACGCCAGGGCTGGAGTTTGACTGTTACATTATATGTATAATGCCCATGCCTCAGACATAATTCATGGTACCCAAAATATGAATATCTATATATTTTAAGAAAGACGAATGAGACCTTTTCTGATTTTCTTTTTTTTTTTTCAAACTCCTCTTTTCTGCAAACAACCATTCACCCCCTAGAGATGCTGATATTCTGTCCTTAAGGATGTCCCTCCAGGAAAACCACTGCTGATGTGAACTCTTATTACTGTGATTGTGTGTTGTCTCTCTTCAGTGAATTGGACTGAGAAAACATTTAAAGAATTTCTGATCTGTGTCACCTGTAAAACTACAACGTAGATAATCCAAGTATTTTCCTACATGTAGAATTCACATTGGCTTTGCATTTTGATGACAGAGGCCTTATCCTTGATACATTGCAGATGTAGTATTAAGCACCTTAGCTCAAGGAGATGAGAACGTAACAACTAGAGTTTGATATGTTGACTTTAATAATAAATCTGTAAGTTATTTTTATGAGCAAGGCATTCTGTGAGATGGCAAGGAAGTCTGACATTCTTTTAGTAGAGAGGAGATATGTAAGAATTAGGTATGGGAGAATGGTCAGATAAAAATTATGTCTTTCGAGGAACAGACAAAAATCTTCCTTCTAGAATTTGGGGGACTTTAGTTCTGGTTAGAAGACTTAGGTCAAATCTGGGCCTCAGATTCCTCACAAGGAAAGTTCAGGATGTTGGGCTAGAATATCTGGGATTTCCCTTTCAGCTCTGAAATGGGTTTTCTCTCTTGAACACAAAATGAAATGGGATAGGAACATAGGGGATTTGAGCCACTAAGGTGCTCTGTTAACTAGAGCAGAGTACAGAATCCCAGCCATGAAAAGCCTTTATTGAGCTAGGTGCAGAGAATGATAAAATTGATAGCCTGTATCCCTTTTTGAATAGAAATATTTATAGCAAACCCCAGAACAACAAGCCTTGTTAGTCTACATTCTCCATTACCTTGCTGATGTTTGACATAAAAACTTTCAGAATATTTAATTTTAGAAATTCCTCTTTTAGTATGGCTTGAGAAAGACATATTATTATCACATTTTAAGAAGTACTTTTCCCCCCCGCAATGCATCTTTCTTTCTTCCTTGCAATTTCCTAAATCTGAAACCTAATATCAGTCAGCATTTCTCTTTCCGAATTTGAACCACCCTGACAGCAGTGTTGTGATGGGTGTCATTGAACATACCAGGCCTTCTCATCATCCAGCCTTTGGTTTTGTCATCAGTGAGTCCATTATTCATTGAAGGAGCATCCATCCTGCCCTGAGACTGTAAACTGTGCTTGCTCACATCCAGAGCCACGTTCACTGTCAAGGTTCCGAGCCAAGAGAATTAAAATGGAATGTTACTTTCTAAGAAGTCCTTTGAAAATAACATATATGTGTTTAATAAATAGTTAAAAGGAATTTTTTTTTGGCGGGGCTGATTTATATATAACTTTTTGGATGAATATTCTCTCCATCTGTAAATTAATTTATTGGTAACTATATGTAAACACTAAGTATTCGCCTTATTCATGAAAATGCCTTTTATGAATGTCTTTTGGAGCATCTAAGAACTCTATAGGATATTTTTTCTAAAGAGTTTTCAGGTCTGTTTCTGAATTGGATATGAATATTAGAAAGACATACTACAGGGTTCAGAAAGAATATAATAAGTCCGTGAAGGTTGAATGTTTTCGTGTTTTTAAAGTAAAAATTTAGATTTTTAGATTAAAAAAAGATTAACTTAAAATGACTACTTAGAGGTTTCCCCAACAAACACAATGGAATAAATGATGTTAACAACACTGTTTCTTGTTGCTTAAAAAGTAGAGAAATAAGACTGTATAGATCAAGAATTGACAAAGAAATTGAATTCCATTTACATTTTCCTTTTTGTATATCTTTTTGTCTTCATTATCCATGTGCAAAAAGTCATTCAGAACTTTACTCCAAAATTACTTAACTATTTTATAGTCAGCAGGTTAGTTTCAATGTGTGAAACTCAATCTGAGATACTCTTATTGATAATACAGATGGAGTTTGAATTTACAAAGAATCATTCTCCTTTTCAAAAGATGAACAGTTTTATGATTAATAGGGGTTCAAATGTCATAGTTTTTTAACATATATGTCACTGGATAATATTCTGTAAGTGATCACATTCATTCTCCATATTCTTCATTCATGGGATGTATCAATGTACTTCCTGTTGAAAGAAAAAAATTAATTACATTCAGGGAAAGACATATTCAAAATAACATTTTTTGTTCTCATTTCCATATTCAATCAATCCTATTTCATTTTTCTGGGTTCTGGAAGATCAAGTGCCAAGAATAACTAAGAATTAACTGTAAAAACACACACACACACACACACACACACACACACACACACGCACACACACACACAGATGCGGCCAGGCCATCTGCCAGTTTGTCACGCCCTTCAGATAATTGCACCCAGACCTGGACCAGCTTCTCTTCTCCACTGCTCACCTGTGCACTTGGTGGCAAAAACACTTCGCTTTCAGTGGATCACCTAAATCCACACTGTGAGGGCAAGAACAGAGAAGAAAAGCGAGGAAACTAAAGGTGCAGTAGAAAGCGGTGGGGAAGGAAAGGAGCCTCTCAGTCCACAGTCCTGGAGCGGGAGTGGTAGAAACAGTGCTTGATGAAAGCTGGATGGGCAGCATCCAGATACTGGTTGGGTAGAGCTTGGTGTTTTTTGTTTTTTGTTTTTGCAACAGTAACCTTTTAAATATCGAAGCACTAATTTTGTAGCAGCTTACCTTGCTTCTGTAATTCATCTTTGTTTTCAGCTGATTCCACGGGCACGCACTCTCTCTATACCACATACAAAGACTACGAACTCATGTTCCACGTGTCAACCCTGCTTCCCTACATGCCCAACAACAGACAACAGGTATGTCCTCCCCAGCCTGGAGCTTTTTACGCTGAGTATGAAATCTGAGGTGGGCCCACTGATGATATTGATGCATGTAGAACTTGCAAAGAATCAGTGAGGGTTTTTCTTGAATAGCATTAATCATCTTTGACTCTTTGATCATTTGGAAGTATTTGGGCTTTAAAGGGCGTATTGTTGCACTTTTTTCGTATAAAACTTAGAAACTCTTC
Organism: Homo sapiens; assembly: GCF_000001405.40. Taxonomy (NCBI): domain Eukaryota; kingdom Metazoa; phylum Chordata; class Mammalia; order Primates; family Hominidae; genus Homo; species Homo sapiens. Next base: position 232,479,414 of record NC_000001.11, on the reverse strand, counting down.
TGCACTCAGATCTATTGCTTGCTAAGCAAAATCTTTTCTCAGGAGAAACTTGTCTCAACTATATGTTAATTACGAAAAGGCCAACCGTGTTGACCTGACTTCGGTTTTTGTGTGTGGGTAAATAGCTTATTTATAGAGAATACTGTTTGCAGTTGTTACTGGTGCTATTTTCAGCTGTTCCTCTCCATTTCGTTTTTGTTGTTTTAAATGGATTTATTGGCCAAAATTTCTTGACCTTTTTAAAGAGAAAAAAATCAGAGTGCATCATGCTTTGACTACAGCCACTCAGTAAGAATTAAGAACCTTTGAAAACTTGAATGATGCATAAATCATTGTAAAATAATTTACTTTTTGGTATAACTTTGAGTCAAGCAAGTTTTTTTTGCAAAGATTACTAGAAATTATGGCCATTTTTATCTTACGCTAGAAATAGTTGAAATGCTTTGTCTACTGTGAGCTTGAGAAGACTTGGAGGATCACTTGAGATAGGAAAGGACCTACGTTTGGGATAGACGATCTATGGGATAGCTAAGGCTCCATTTCACATCTTGTTTAGAATCTTCTGGGCTCTGCCCATGTTAAGCTGAAGATTTTTTGAAGAATGTTACTGCTTGAGTTTCTGAATATTTGTTTACAGAAAGGTTTGTGAATTACTAGGATCTTATAACTGATTCATTGACATAATTTAATTTTAGGGATTTGATTGTATTTAGGTTAAATCCAGAGTTAAAGTTTGTTTTCACATTTAGGAGACAGTTCTCTGAATGTCACTTAACTGATACTCCTTTGCTCTAAATATATTAAAGCACCAAGGACTACATAGGAATAGCTCAATAGGTATTTGTCAAATGAGTGAAATTTAATTGTCACAGAGAATTTTTCCTTTTTAAAAAAGACTCATAAAAGTATATAAATTTAGTCTAATTCTGCATTTTTTCCCAAAGAGGAAACCAGCCAACTACCTCCCCTTCTCCCATCACTAGTTGGAAGAAGCCCCTTAGCCTCAGATCCTCCAGCTAGGATGAGAAAGCAGGCCTCTGACCCCCAGTCTCTTCTCATGGTAACTGCTAGCTGGATTTTCTTGCCATTTTCCATCTCATACTTATCTCAATCCCTTGTCCTTTCTGAATTTTCTAGTGTTTTCTAATAATCATAGTTCTTCCTACCACCTTCAAAAAATCTATCTCTGTATTACACATCTGTGTATTTTTAAGCATAGACTTAAAATCACTAGATCACATGTATGTATTTATGTATATTTTAACCTAAGGGATTTTAGCTCTCAAGAATTTATTTGCAATAATGCCGAGCAGATTCACTGGATCTTAAGAGGCTTAATTTAGACCAGGACAGTTGTCCAGCAAATACTTGTGAATCATTCAGTAATTAAACTCTGTGGGAGTTGTTGCTCAGAAAACTGATAGGGGTTACTCAAGCCAAGAAAATCTGTCAGTACGTTAGCAGAAATAGAGCCAGTGACTTTTGACCCCCGTCATCGAGTATTCAAACCACAAAGCCTTTCCAGTTCCCTGATTACTTGAGTCATTGGACTTCAGGCTGAATTGGCCCTGGCATTTCACATGTGGCAACCTCCAGAGATTTGAAGTCTTTGCTTTTACCACAACTCAAAACTGGCTTTCCCACCCCCTTTCATTGAAGCGTAATCAAAATCTGTAGGCATTCGAGTTTTATGTACCTGACTTCATTTCACTGAAACTAGCCTTGAAAAAATTGTATGCGCAAAAATCAGGACAGCAAAGCAGTGAAAATGTAGATGCAACTGGGGGATAGAGGAGGATGTGTGTGTGTTAAACTTCCCCAACTGGAAAGTAAAAGAAAAGTCCCTGTAAGTTGAGGCTATACATTCCAAACTCGAGAAAGCTGGGATTTGTATCTGTTTTGTTCCCTGAAGTGTCCCTGTGTGCCCAGAACAGTATCCAGAACATGGTAAGAAGTCAACAAACATTTGTTGAATGAATAATGAATGAATGAGTGAACCTTTCTTAGGAGATAGAGAATTAGGCAAATTAATGCATGTAAAGCACTTAAAATAGTTCCAGGCATGGAACTAAGTTTTAGTTGTTACTGTTTTATAATTCATTAGATATAGAGCCAGTCATATTTTGGATGACCTAATTTGCATTTTATTTTCCTGTCTCCAGTCCTAAAGATCTATTATGAAAAACTAAGACTCTGAATGGTTAAGAAAGTGAGAGACTAAATTTATCAATTATTTCAGAAAATTATTTTTTGACATTTAATATTTTGCAATCACAGGTTGTCATCAGAATGTTCTGTTTGTGGATAAATAATGCCACTTGCAATCTGGGGACATGTGTTTTCCAAATTTGTTAATGAGTTGTATTGACTCCATTTCTCTCACCCTCACCATCCATGCCCACAAATTATGTTAATACCAAAGGTAGAAATGTCTGAAATGACCAGCTGGGTTCATGAGTGCAATTTGAAGCCACAGGACTTAGCAAAGTTAACTGGCCCCTACATGAATTGTGCCTGTAACCTTGGCTTCTTACACTACAGTTGGTGACCATTTAACTGGTCCAGACTCGTCCACATCAGATCTAATTTCTTGTGTTCCTTCTTGTAATAAATCAAGCTGGATGCCAATTCCAAGATGTATTAAAAGTCTTCAGAGAGTTTACCACAGTTGCAAAAGAGCTTTAATCTTTGGAATGGTCTCTGACTCTTGCGTAGAAAAACTCACCAGACCAAAAGAATGATAAGAAACCCTGCTCTTGGAGTTATTTTCTCTCTTCAAAAGTTAAGTCCTGCAAGTCTCTCTGCATCTGTCTGGCAGTCCATCCACTTTTTCCAGGGCTGTCTTCCCCTGTGTGCTTTCCTTCTGCTTGCCCTGGAGACAAGTCATGGTTAAGCCATCGTGGGATGTCATCAGTGGGAAGAGCTTCACAAATTAGCTTTAAACTTCACTTTGGCAACGAAATTCTTTCTTCAAAGTAGTCATATAAAGTAGAGGTGCCTCAGTGCCTGGCACACAGTAACCTATTTTTTAATGTATGCGTAACATTTTAGCTGCTGTGTTGGGAAGGGGTACCTGACGCCTCGTGGAGGTATCTAATGAGTAAGACCAAGCCCCTAGGTTTCTGAGATGCTAATTAAAGGATACTGGTCTTCCTCTAGTAATGGGCTTGACACCAAAGAGGTAATGATGTTGTATTTGGGCTAAGCCTGGAGCCCTTTTCTCCATAGTGGATAGACTGATTGTAAGCTCCTGCCTTAAAGAGTTTGTGTACTTCCTTAAGTCCCTAGTTGGTGTTGCTAAGGACTCATGTAAATACTGGAACAACCTACCTCACTAAGTGCGATGAGCCTTGGGTCCTGCCTATACTTGGGTTCACCTATACATAATACTATAGAATATTTTGGAAGGATAAAATGCTTACTTAGCTTTCCATGAGTAGCTTTATTCCCAGACCCTAAGTAGGAGCATATACTTATACTATATCACAAAGATTGTTACTTAGAGTGAGGGTTGGTATTGCCTAGTGACAGAAAGAAGAAAGAGACATTTATATCTTCATAATCCTGTTATCATCTTTACTTTGTTATGAAGTCATTAAAGATCTGCATTCTTAGATTATTTTGTTTCTTCCTTTGCAAAGTGTTCAATATTTCTTAATTCGTTTGTACATTTGCTCTTGTTATTGGTAAAATATCATAATTATATGAAATGATAAATCAGTGAGAAATCCTTCAAACATTAATTAAATGTAATATCCTGTTCTTGCCCATCAGAAATGAGAACAGTTCACTAACATTCACTTTTTTGCAGGAGGTGGGTGAGACTTTTCTTTCTTTTGTATTTATGTGGTAAGGTGTATATGTTGCCCTTCCTTAGTTATTATTTAGAATGCTTTTCTACATTAACTTTTTCCGTAGGAAACTCTATACGCCTCTTAAAAATCAAGGCATAATTCTAACTACTGGTGCAAACTCTTGAGTATAGTTTATATGAGGGGATATGTGTGTTTATGTACATGCATATGTATGTATAAGTGCAAAATTAGGGCCATCTCCCTAAAAGAGGAAAAGCCAACCCTCTGGGTGAAGGGGAGGAGCTTTCCAGGCAAGAGATTAGGAACTGCAAAGTTCCTTGGGTGGGAACCAGTTGTTCTGTAGGAGGGACAAGACGCTGTCTATATGGTAAGGAGCAGGTGATGAGGTCGGAGAGGTAGGAAGGGATCAGTCATGTCAGAGGAGTCTTTGTCAGCCCCCTTTTTAGTAACAGGATTTAGATTCAAACTCAAGGACCAGGACTGAGAACTTGTGTGCGTTTAGAGAATATGGATTTGCTTCTTTCTAAAGACCTTCTCTGGAGACCTGCAGATGACCTTCCTCTTCTCTGACTCTTATGAGCTTCTGAATCATATCCCGGCTGTTCTCTTTCATGTTGTACAGCCTGCTTTCCCCCAGCATTGGGTGCAAAACAGTTTGTTTCTGTCTTACTGGGTTTAAAATAATAATTTAACAAATGAACCCATATACATAGAGGCTAGCAGATACTGTCTAATTCAGCTTTCATTTTTCACCCAAGTGTGCTGTCTGATACTTATTTTCACTTCCTGGCTTTTTTCTTCTCAGTTTGCTTTTTGAGTTTTTTCCTCTCGTTAAAATTTTTTTTTTTACTGATATATAATAGTTGTACATATTTTGGGGTTACACGCTGTATTTTGATACCTGCATACAATGTGTATTGATCACATCAGAGTAATTGGCATATCTGTTACCACAAACACTTATCTTTGTGTTGAGAACATTTCAAATTTTTTTGCAGCTGCTTTGAAATACACAATAAATTGCTGCTAATGACAGTTTCCCTACTGTACTGTCGAATAATTAGAACATACTCCTTCTATCTTACTGTATTTTTGCACTAAGTTAAAACTGGTCTTGTGAGATACTGGTTTGTTTAAGGAACTGAGGCTAAACCTACGGCCATATATGGTATTTCTGTAGCATCTATATGCTTTTGCCATGGAATTGGGTGAAGACTCACATTTTCTCTTTCCTTGTCATAACAAGAGCTTATTCCTGTTTCACAGCTGGAATCGAGTGTTAGAAATTTAGTAGAAATGACTATGTAAATCTATCTAATACAATATTTATTAACTCACTGTTGCAGTTGAAGACACTAATAAGTTGGTTCTCTTGACATCACTGAAAATTGTCATTAGCTTTACATACCTAGAAAGAAGTTCGCCCCAGAAGATGTCATTCCTACAATTCCCTCAAACAAATAGTACCGTCAGGTTTTGCCAGCCTGCGTTCGTTTGTGGTTTGCCATCCCTTTTCCCCATTCACAGACTCTGATTGTATAGAATTTCATTGACCAGTTAGAAAAAAGCATAAACTAAATACTAAAGAAAACATTTGCCTTTAAGAAGTTCAAGAAATTACTTATTTCATGTTTGACAAAGTCCTAAAACAGAAAAATGAATAATATTTCTGTTAATTTTCCAGATATTTTCTTTAGTCTCTGAAGCAAATTCAAGCATTCTATTAATGGATAGTGTTCATTTTTCTTATTATATTCTCCTTCAAAGAGCTTTAGATTTTACCCTTCCTAATGAATCTTCTTGTTCCCGCCTCCAATCGTTTATTTTTTTCTACAAAGTGCATTATGTGGCCATGGTTAAATTAACTAGACTTTTGAAAACATTTTTTGGCCCATTTTACAAAGCAAAAGAATGTGTCTAGAAAGGGACAACAGTGGTTTGGCATGTTGTCAAGGTAACCAGACTTTAACTTGTGCTTTAACTTGTGCTTTAAATAGTCCTGTGGTGAAGTATAGAATCAGACCCATCATGTTCCTTCAGGAGGAAAAGAAATTGGATAGGAATAACTGTGCAATTTGCTGTTGCAGTCTCAACAGCCATGAAGCACTGACTAACAAGGCCCTCCCTGCACCCTGTGTTTAATGGAGAGGGCTGGCCAACATGAAGCCACACCGGCAATCACTCAGGAAGTAGGAGGCGCTGAACTCACTGCCTGGCCTTGGCCAAAGTGAGCTCCATCTTTTGACAGTCTGAGAATTCCTGTGTTTCAAGGGCACTGAATAAACTAGAGTATGAACTGCTGTGTTTTGTAGTCTACAGATACATTGAACACAATGATGGGCATATTTTTAAAAACTATTCCTGATTTTTCCTTGTCTCATTACAATGCCTATGAATCATGTATTTCAATTTTTGGAGAAAAGAGTAAAGAATGTCCTTGCCAAAGATAGTTTTCACTGATTATTTACATGCATTTGAAATGGCACATTTTAAATATCTAGCAAACTTTTTAAAAACTACATATTTAAATGAGGTGGCTCATTGGGTCTGTATTATGATGTACTAATGTATGTTTCCAGACTTCACTCAGACAGTAAGATGATTTTTGTGTGTTTATAACTTTGACCATGGGGATTTAAGTAGGAATTTCTCAGCATATGAATCAGCAGTTTAACTGGCCTGTAGAAAACTCTGAAAGAATGAACATTTCATTCCCACTTTTCCAGGCCTTTTATCATGCTAAATCACAAGTCAGGGACCTGACAATGAAATCCTTTTTGTATCTGAGTTTAAAAGGCTTTAAAAGTTGAACTTAATGGTCTTTACTTGGAATATGCGCTGTAGGTGCCAAATAAATTTAAGGGTAAGGTCGTGGTCTTTCATATTGCTAGTAAAAAGAGATTTACTATCTGAGATTGTCACATTCCAGCAATGACATCACCAAGTTGTGTAAGGATTGTTGTATGTATTAAAACTGAAGATCACAAACTTTTGAGAGCACAAATCTATGCCTTCACTTGCATAAGCTTACCGAGTGCCTTTATGTGGATTTATTGGCATGTGTTCATAGGAAAGAAGTGGTCACAATTTTAATGCATAATGTGATGTGTCAGTAAGTGTATATTTGGATTATTTATTTGTTAAACAAATGTGTATTGGGTACCTCCTTTGCCTGGCACACCATTAGAAACTAGGAAACTGAAAGTCAGTATGACACTTCTGTGCCCTCATGAAGGTTATGACCTGATGCAGAAGAAGTAAACCAACCATTAGGAGACAGTACAACAACCAGTGTAATAGAAATAGGCCCGGGAAATAGGAAGTTTCTTTCAGATGAAATGGGATCTACAGAGACAACTGCATTGTCTGGGAGAAACCTGGAGGGAAGGGGGCATTCTTGGCAGAAGGAACATCAAAAGTAAAGGCGTTGGTCAAGTGTTACTGCTCTGAGCATCATTCCCCCTGCCAGATTTGTGATTTATAAAATTACAAATGATTGGGCTTCTGGTTATTAATCCAGTTGAATTCTGTGTTTCTGAATTGCATTTTAAACGGCCAGGGTTCAGTTAATTGGTTTGTATTATTGCTCACCAGAATGACAGTGTTCTGTATTTTTGTTGCAGAAATGCACGTTACTTTACTGTGGGAGCACAGGATACAAGCTGAAGCCCGCCGGTGTGATAGTGTAGGACTTTTCAGCAAACCTGTACCCTCTCTTGGACTTTGTCGTCTAGAGCTTAAACTACAACATTTCTCAAAGTGTTGTGAGCTCTAACATGCTATTATTTTAGGGGTTTAAAAAGAGGAACTGGATAAAGACCAAAAGGAGAGAGAGTACAAATTGAATTTTAAAATAAAAGAGATAAACTTAAATATTTAGGCTTTTCTTTCCACGGGTCTTTTGGATGAAGCCCATTTTGCTTTTTCTATGCCAAATTTAGGAGCACTGACTTCCAAAGAATGACTGTGCTTTTTAAAAATCACTCCTTCAAATTGAAAGATGAGTGAATTATATATATATTTTGTTTTAAAGAAAAACTTATTTGTAACTCTTCACTTTCTTGACCACAGCTACTGAGGAAAAGGCACATAGGAAATGACATCGTCACCATCGTCTTCCAGGAGCCTGGGGCACTTCCTTTTACTCCAAAAAGCATCCGGTCTCACTTTCAGCATGTCTTTGTCATAGTCAAAGTGCATAATCCATGTACCGAAAATGTGTGTTATAGGTGAGTCAGTCATCCCTGATCTATCATTCTCCCAGGTTTATTTCAACAGGGCGTCTTTTCCCAAAAATATCTTTGTTTGCCAATTATTATTTGCAACTTTGTGATTTTCTAATTACTCAGACACTTTCTGTAAGAAATAATTGCCTTCTTCCCATTTTATCCCCTTGAAAAAGTGAAATGCCTAGCACTTTAAAATGGTGGATTACACATTTCCTCTGTTTTTCTCCTAAAAACTTGAGCCAGAATCAATAGCTTAATTGGTATCCTCCTCTGAGTTGGATGAAGTGGCTGGTTAAGTGCTTATCTAGGAGAAGTAAGTATAGTGGCAGTAAAACATTTCTTTTCATCAAAGATCTTGGATCTTTGCAGGGCTGCTGAAACAAGAGGTTAACACTTGTTGGGTGACTTCAAAAGGCCACATGCGTGCCTTGGAATCCCAAGACTGGCTCTGACAAGGCCTGCTTTTATACTTAACCACTACTCTCAGACTCTGTCTTAGGAAATCTTAGGGAATAACTGCAGCCAAATGATCATATCATGTGGGGTATTGGTAAAACAATGGGTCTTTGACCAGAGTTTGAAACCAGCTTTACCACTTATCATAGGGCTTTGTGTGGCTTACTTTATTTTTCTTAACATTTGATTCCTCATCTTAAAATTGAAGATAATGGTAATGATAGTACCTACTTCAGTATGTTGTTATGATGAATAAATAGCTTAAATTATGTAAAACACCTATTGGAGTTCCTGACATTCATCCAAGATTATTTTCATTTATCATCTTAAAGCAGTAGTTGCCAATTCAGCTGCCCACTGGGCCTAGTTCAGAGACACGACTATTCCTTGTAAGAAAGTGAAGACTACAGAGCTTGCTTCCTAAAGGCACAAGAGAAATTAGTCTGTATTTGAGAAGTTGCCATTTTACATCCCACCCTACAGATGCCCAAGCCATCTTAGAACAAAGTCTGAAAACCATCAGTTCTTACCCTGAATTTTACTTCCCAGTCGCCTTATTAAACATAGCCCTAGTCTATGGCTCTACTGTGCTGTGTTCTAATGCAGTACACCTGTCATCTCTATACTTCCCTCCATAGTCATTCTTACGCACATCTGGGTTTCAGACCACTGGCCTAAATGCTCAGAACTACTTTTTAAAAGTGATATTTGAAAGAATATAGTATCTACTCTATACAAATGATAGGCTTAAAATAGATAATATTGGTACAAACCTGGTGAGTTGGCCTTTTTTTCCTGGGAGCTCATCCAGCGAATGGTAATTCTGAAGAATAAAATGAACCTTCCTAATTGGATTGGGAAAACTGAAGTATAAGGCTTTATCGTATTGTATTTGGTGTTATTTTATGGGTGGCTATTTTTAGGTCAAATGGAGTACTTTAAATTACTTGCTATCTTTATGCTTATATCATGAGGTAATTCATTAGCACAAAAAATTGTAAAGATAGGCAATACCTGTTCAATTTATTTCTTTTAGGTTTTCCGGTTTTAATTAAACAACTCTGTTTAATTAAAAAACTGAGTTGTTTAATTAAAACCAGAAAACCTAAAAGAAATAAATGTTTTTGAATCTAATTAAATGTTTTGAATGTATTTAATTAATGTTTTTGAAAACACCACAGAGATCTCTTACATATAACAAAGTACATTGCCTTATTTTTTCTGTGATAAAGATACCATATGCCAATCATTCAGAGATGGAGTCATTGGTTTTTAAGAAACCACATTGTTATTACTAAATTAACCTTTACTAATGAGATTCAAATGCAACATCAGTTCAAGTGCCTAACATTTTTGGAAGTGCCTCATCAGCTTCGTTGATCTTGCTTAAAAACATCACTAGTATTTCTTGAAGAATCAATAATAATCTTGAGTAATCCTGTAGTCACATGAATTCCATAACATTTTATGAAGCTGTCCTTACTCTATCTCATGAAATAAGGTTGGCATGCCCACATTTTCTAAAAACACCTTATTGGTCTGTTTCATGTGATACTCCTCTAAATATTCCAATGGAGAAATAAATTCATTAAAATAATTTCCAAGGAAATGGTATAGTCCAGCTCTACAGTTTTCTTAAATTTTGCTATGTCCTAATCCAGAGTGGCAAGCTCCCGTGAAAGCTGTTTTTCTCCTGAGCTTTTTTCGGGTGTTGAGTGGCAGCGTATTCTTGCTGACGCGGACCCACGGTACCAATGCCAATTCATAGGCCTTACAGCTGTCAGAAGGGGCTGTGCGGTTGAGATCACCTTCTCTAATGAAAATCGTGCAGCCTGTCAGGTGTACCTGCCTGAGCAGAAGACCACACTCCCACCCTACAGAGGGAGTCAGGCCTCCCCCATGAGCGCAGCAGAATGCTCGAGCAGTTATGCTGGGTCCACTGGAACTAGGAGAAATGAGGCAACACCCCCAGAGCCCCACGAAACATCTCACTTTCAGCCTGAAAATATTTAAAAAGCAGACATAACAAATTGCCTATTTCTTTATAAAAGACTCTTTAATTTGTAGCTAATGTTAAGCTGTCAGGGATTTATGTTTTTATGTACTTTCCAAGATAAACTCTCTGCAAAATGCTCAGTAACGGAATGAGAGAAGTCTTGGTAGCTAAGAGTGAATTAAAAGTGGAGAGATACCTATAGAAAATGATGACTGCCATTTTTTAGAAAATCTAATATGTAACATCTTCTGACAAAAATTAGGTGACAGGGTTAAATCATTTATTAACACAACAACTATGATAGTAATAGTGACAGTAACAGCAACAATTTGGGTAATAAAAGCTTTACATGCATTATTTTCTATCATCCTTACAATGGGCTTTTGGGTATGATACTATTTTACCGTCCATTTTACAGATGAGGGCAGGGAGGCACTGAAGGATTAGTGTAGTTAGCTCAGTCACTCAGGAGGTGGTAGAGCTGGACTCCCTGACTCCGGGAGTTACCTGACTCCAGTTTGCTCCTCACACCTTTCTTTATTGTCCTTTGGCCAGCAGGCCTTGTTAAAACCCTTTCATGTGCATATTAAGGAATGCTTATCTTTCTGTTTGCTTTTGCTGGAGGGGCCTTAAATATCTAAGGCCCCTAAATCATTAATAAATGCTATCGAGTTATTTGGGTGAAATAAGGAGCTCTGATGTAAGTTCTCGTTTCCACACAATGGGAATTATCTGAATCTGGCAAAAGAATATTTCTTCTGAACTTGACTCTACTTGAAATGTTAAGGATCCTATGAGCTTTTGTAACCAAGGGTCTCTAATTGATTCCCATACCCAGAATATCATAACAATCATGGAATAGCCATGCTTACATTCTGCTGGTTTTCTTGTACAACTTTGAGATGTGCAAGAATACAGTTTATTGAACAAGAATATGGCATACATTGTACAGAGAATCTGCAATTAGATATTAGGGTCTATAATTGGATACACAAAAAATTTCCCTACTATATAATGGAGTCACCATGTCTCTCTTATTTACTATGTGACACCACAGTGGAGCATATTTAGATAACAAGAAATTTCCCCTGACATTGTAGCTTAAGTGCATGCAAGCTGCACTCAGAGGGTAGCATGAGATCTACAGAGTTAATGCAAAGAAGTAATGCACTGGAGTGCCAGATGACATTTGGCCGCCTCAGCGTTCCATGGGTAAAATACTGCTAGAAATCTGTACTCACTGTTGAAAGAGAGAACCAAATTTAGGAGCGGTGATACATTGGTTTATCGTACCCAATATTTGCAGGGCAGGTTGCAGTGCACAGAGAGACCCTTTGAGCTCATTGACAGCGTAGAGAAGAGAAGCCACAGGATGTGGTTAGACTAATCACAAGTCCAAACAGGTAGCTTTAAGACCACTCTCCCAGAGTTAACATGGGGGATTGTGGGGGATAAATTAATTCCCAGTCTAGAATGGCCATCCTGAGGATGGTGGTGAGGGGAAAATGGGCCACACCTGATGTAGATCCCTGGCAGTGTCAACCTCTGTGATGTTTTTAAGGACCTTTCCTTCATTTAAGCCCGTAAGTCAAGTTCCCACACACACATACCCTCTGGTATGGTATATATACTACCATAAAGCACCACTAGGTGCTATTGATGAGTTCGGTGTATCTGTCCCAAAGCAAAGCAGTCATTGCTTCCCTTTCATATCAGTGAAGGACCCATCTAGCCACCTGTCTGTCTTGCCGCTACAGGTGATTAACTCTGCTGAAGAGGTTGCAGATTAAAGCACAAGTTAGCCTGCGATTTTTCTAAAGTCTAACCAACCACATTTCAGAAGAGGAGTTTGCATCTGACAGAACAAATTTGGATGGAATGTTTTTATTCCTTAATTTACCTTTTTTAGAATTTTCCACAATGATGAAAACAAAACAAAGATTGCTTCCTTTCTTTACTCCAACATCAGCCTGGGCAGATGTGGGATTAATACAGATTCTTGGTCTGTGGTAGCTACTCAGTAATTGGGGTGCTCTCAATGCTGCCAGTGATACAGAATCCATTCATTCACTTACTCGTCTTAATCTTTCCTTTGTTTTTTTGTTTTTGTTTCTGTTTTTGTTTTTTTGAGACGGAGTCTTGCTTTGTCGCCCAGGCTGGAGTGCAGTGGCGTGATCTCGGCTCACTGCAAGCTCCGCCTCCGAGGTTCACACCATTCTCCTTCCTCAGCCTCCTGAGTAGCTGGGACTACAGGCGCCCGCCACCACGCCCGGCTAATTTTTTTGTATTTTTAATAGAGACGGGGTTTCACCGTGCTAGCTAGGATGGTCTCAATCTCCTGACCTCATGATCCACCCGCTTCGACCTCCCAAAGTGCTGGGATTACAGGCATGAGCCACCGCACCTGGCCAGTCCTTCCTTTGTTAATTCATTAGTCCACTGTATAATTTATCTTATGCAGAAAAGGATATGAGATAACTAAAGCAACTCTCTGATGTAGGGGAGCGTTATTGGTTTTAATAGATTACAATGCTCGTTATTAACACTATGCATTTGATCTCTTCAGTCCCTGAGATCCCTTAAAACTTTGCTCCCATAAAACCTTCATTTAGATTTTCAAAATGTGATCAAGTAAAGTGAGCATTTCCTTTAAAAAAGTGACACTTAAAACTTTTGGCTCTTGTAAGTATGATCACTCTGTCCCACGTCACTGAATCCCATGCAGCTAACGTGGGCTAAACCCACTTTGGTCAGAAGAGCTACTGTTTCTCCCAGTGATAACCAGCCCCACAGAGTTATAGAGTGCCAGCCTGCTTATTCCACATGCTGTGGATGTGTTACCCCCTGTATTAGTTTGGTAGCACTGCCGTACTAATGCCACAGGCTAGGTGGCTTAAACGGCAGACTTTTATTTTCTCAGAGTTCTAGAGGCTGGAAGTCTAAGATCAAGGTGTCAGCAAGGATTGGTTTCTCCTGAGACCTCTCCCCTTGGCTTATGGATGGCCGTCTTCTCCTTGTGTCTTCACATGGTCTTCTTTCTGTGTGCATACATCCCTGGTGTCTCTTTGTAAGCCCAAATTTTCTCCTCTTATAAGGACACCAGTCAGTTGGATTAGGGCCCACCCGAATGGTTTCACTTAGCCACCTCCTTAAGGGTCCTTTCTCCAGATTGCGTCACATTCCCAGGAACTATGGGTTATCTTGTCAACGTGTGGATTTTGAGAGGGACATAATTCAGCCCATTACACCTCCTGTCTACTAAGTTTAAAGCATTTTGCTTAAACAACAATAACAACAAACCCTGGGTATGCAGCAATTAGGAGAACAAGAACTTGCAGAATAAACCAGTTAAGTTGAAAGTGTGTGTGTATGTGTGTATGTATATGTGTGTGTGTGTGTGTATGTATATGTGTGTGTGTGTGTATATATATGTCAAATTCGGAAAGATACATATTATGGTATCATAGCTCATCTCATTTTGTTTCTGTTTTTACTTCCTCAGTGTTGGAGTTTCCAGATCAAAAGATGTGCCACCATTTGGCCCACCGATTCCCAAAGGTGTAACTTTTCCAAAGTCAGCCGTGTTCCGGGACTTCCTTTTAGCCAAAGTAATCAATGCAGAAAATGCAGCCCATAAATCAGAAAAGTTTCGAGCAATGGCCACTCGAACGAGGCAGGAGTACTTGAAAGATCTGGCGGAGAACTTTGTCACAACCGCCACCGTGGATACCTCTGTGAAGTTCAGCTTCATTACGCTGGGTGCGAAGAAAAAGGAGAAGGTAAAGCCAAGGAAGGATGCCCACTTGTTTAGCATTGGGGCCATCATGTGGCACGTGATAGCCCGGGACTTCGGCCAGTCTGCTGACATTGAATGTCTTCTCGGGATCTCCAATGAGTTCATCATGTTGATTGAAAAGGATTCCAAGAATGTTGTATTCAACTGTTCCTGCAGGGATGTGATTGGGTGGACATCTGGATTAGTGAGTATCAAAGTGTTTTACGAAAGAGGAGAATGTGTCCTCCTGTCCTCGGTAGACAACTGTGCTGAAGACATCAGGGAAATTGTTCAGCGATTAGTAGTAAGTACATGTTTTCTATTTTCCCGCCATCCTTATGTTTTCAATTCCAGATTCAAAATAACTTTCACTGGGGAACTGCTACCATGATTATACCAATTAGGGAATGCATTACTATTTGTTACAGATACAGAGCTTAATTTTAAATGCTGGGTCCTTTTGGGGAGTTGTTGAATACATGAATGGTGGAGAAGCAACCATCATAAATCAATTGGAAAAGAAAAGTTAAGCCAACCTGCAAAAGAGAACATTAAGATGTATTTTAGTAGCATTTGAAGGAAAAACAGAAGTGTCTGGGTAGAATGTCTGTTTATGGAGGCTGACATAACATACCTTCCCAGTGGGTAATTAACAACAGAATTGCTGTTGACTGTATGAATGACGAGTCCTATCTGCAGTTTCACCCCTGCATGTTTATACAGCAGCTATTTTTGTTTAATGTGCCAGATTAAATATATTATTAATCTTAGAGCCACAGTTTCTTAAGGGAGTTTTTCAGAATTACACATTAATTTAGAAAGGCTTTTGAAAAGTTAGACTTAAGAAAGATTTTCATGTATGTGATTTTTAGTGCAAAACCCTTATATTTTATCCATGGTGTTCAGTAGTCATATTTCTGCTCCCAATTTTAACAAAGTAAGAATCAGATTTTAGTTTGAGCATATAAAATAAAGTAGTAAGAATAAATCAAACTACTTCTAGTTTTTATTTTTGGTAATATAAGAAAAAAACATGCTTTGACAATAGAATTTCTTGTGTGTAAATCTTCCCCCAAGAGGGATGTAATTTTTTTTTTAATTAGAAAAGGTTTAGTTCACTATGGATCATGAGAAAAGGAGAAATTATATCCATTTCTTGCCCCCTTTCCTCCCACCAAAAATATTTCCTCCCTTTTGTTATTAGAGACCATGTATAAGAGAAGGTAAAATCAGGGCAGTGTCTGCTAGCCTTGGAAAAGTAATTTCATTATTTGTGGACTCTGTTTACAGTAAAGGGCCTCAGTGTGTTCAACAGTATTATCAGGTATACGTGAGCAAGCCTAGATAAGAGTTTGGGGTGATTAAGTAAATGATTAGTTTATATACCTAGAGAATTGACTTGAATTATACTGGTGAGTCTCTGGATGCATTCTGCTTTTGCTAATTGCAAATACTTCTTTTTAGCATATCCACCAAATCATTATAATCTGTGCTTCTGAAAATACAACACAAATACCACTTCACCAACCACAAAAATGTACTTTCCCTGGATATTTACACATGGGCTTTTATACATTTGCTATTCGATGGACTCCATCCTATTTTCCTAGAAAAGTGTATTGTCAGTGTGACCAAGATGCACAATATTACAAATATATTTTAGGAATTATATTCTGTGTCTAGGATGACTTGCAACATGAGCTGTTGGAAACAAGCCAGACCAAAGACTGTTGAAGGGATTAGATCGTAAGGGTTGATGCAGAGTGGTAGTAACAGAAATGGGAAGAAAGAGAAGAATGCAGTCTTAGTGGAGATGTTGGGAATGCCTGCCCGTTTGGCAGATGGTTAACTCAGTATCCATTCTCAGGTGGTGGAAAGTGGAACTAAAGGGTCTGTCTTGCAGGTAACAGTACAGGAGCAGAATGAGAGTTTGTTCCTAGAGGGCCAGGCAGGGCTCACTTCACGGATGTGCAACCCATGCAGTTGCACAGGGACCCGCTCTCAGAAGAGTTCGTGCTTGGTTGAATGCTCTGCCATTGCCATCTTGAAATACTTACTAATTTTTTCATAAGGAGCCTCGCATTTTGATTTTTCTTGTGGCCCCACAAATTACATAGCCAGTCCTGGCTTGGAGACTACAATTTTCGTGTGATAATTGGGTCCATGGAAGAAGTCCAAATACATGGAGAACACCTTACTTCAGACTTTGGGGATGTTAGGAAGCAATAAACAGAGGGGATAAAGAAATAGCAAAAAGACAAAGTAGGGGAGGTGGCAGGTGATTGGAGGAAATGAGCAGAAGAGCCAGAGCTGGAGGACTCTGGAAAGGCTCAGCCAATAACTCTTCAGCCTGATACATGGATGATAAACTTCACCTGATAATCGCATTGATATTTGAAAGAAGGCTGGGTACATCTTATGTGTCGTCTTTTGATAGGATTGCTTAGAACAAAGTTGAAAAAGAAGTGACCAAAATTTATTTGTGTTGTGCCTATTACAGAACTACTTCTTCAAGTTTTAGTTACTTCAGTTCATGACTTTAGAAACGTCAATATTCTAAAACATCATCACTAACTAAAACCAGCAGTCCCCTTTCCGCATTTTGCTGAGTCGTGAACTGTCATGCCTGTCTGGGAAAAGCTGATTGGCATTGTGTGCACTTGTGGTAACCATGGAAACATCAGACACAGTGGTGATACATGAACCAGCCCCAGTCCCACAGCTGTACTTACTGTCATAGGTCTTATTAAATAGGTATCTATGTAGTCAGAGCATGTTTCATAGAAATGGAGTGTTCATTAAACTGAAACTTCATACATTGCCTCTGGGCTTTTGGGGATAGGAGTATGATACCTCCCAACTTGAAATTCCCACAGATAGGTGAGGTCATAGTCATCGGGTGATACTTAATGAGCCCATGTTTTTCTTTCATTGGATGTAAACTATGCTCGGTGAGTGCTTTTGAGGGCTGCATTAGTGGTGCTTTAATGTACCAAGTGGGATGCAATCCACCATTCTTCTTTCATGTTCCTTTTTGTGGAACTGCTGTTGACTCTCTCTCACTCTTGAGTAAGGTACATACACTGAGGCTTCCATTGCTTGGGGCTGCCCTCAGCCCCTAGGAGACAGGCCTAGTGGAGGAGAGGCAGCCCATAAGCACAGAGGGTCTGTCTGCTGCCTGCCAGAGCACCATCCTACACACTTGCCTTGTGAACAGATGGCCAAGGAGTCTGGCTGGCCTGCCCCCACCATGGATCTGAGTGGTCCTCACCACTCAGGCAAGCATAGGCAGTTGTCTGTCCTCAAGAGAAGGACCCTAGGGGACAGAACACTCCACAGTATGTCCCTAGGGCTGGTGCGTAGAGAACATTTAGAGTTTTCCTAAAGCTCTGACTTTCTGCCACTGCCCTTCCTGAACCTCAGAGTGGGCTCTTAAGCGTTAGCTTTCAAGTGCTTTGGGGTGTTTTTCTTTGCTTGGGATGAATAAATTGTCTCATGGTTTTTAGTGCTTGCTGGTTGAAACTTGTAATGGTCCACAAAGTCTTTACAGGTTTTCCATTGCAAAAATCCATCTAGAACGATGGGATTTATATGCTTAAAAGTCAAGTCAATTTACCTAATAAAGGAAAAACGGGAATTATCTGAGCCCATCTGAAGCTCTCAAGCTCTGGGTCAGTGACATCTAAGAAAGCAGGACACCTGTATCAAGAACAGATATGACTTAGAATGAAGAATGAAACCATTGCTTTGCTTCTGTTATTTTCTTTGCACTTGATGCAAATGTTAATTGTGATCAGCTCTGAACTTAAATGTGTCCTTGTCCTGTCACTTGGACAGTTTGAGGAAAAGGCAGAGAGAGACAGGCTGGGCTGCGAGGGCCCAAGGGAGAGGGCTGGCATGGAGGCCCATACGTGCACCTTTGGCAGAGCCCCATGGCAGCTTGGGCAGGAAGGGCATCTCTAACAGTCTCCTTCCCCCTTAGATAGTGACGAGAGGCTGCGAGACTGTGGAAATGACCCTGAGGAGGAACGGGCTGGGCCAGCTTGGCTTCCATGTGAATTTTGAAGGAATTGTCGCAGATGTGGAACCTTTTGGCTTTGCCTGGAAGGCTGGCCTTCGCCAAGGGAGCCGCCTCGTGGAGATCTGCAAAGTAGCCGTGGCCACTCTGACCCACGAGCAGATGATCGACCTGCTCCGTACTTCTGTGACTGTGAAGGTGGTCATCATCCAGCCCCATGATGACGGCTCGCCCCGAAGGTAAGGCGTGGGAGGCCCAAGTAATGCTCACTCCTCCTTTGCCTCTGTAGCAGGTGGCTGTCCTCAGTGCTCCTGCAAGGTCCTCAGAAAATGCAGTCAAGTGTGTCTTTGTACAGTGTTCTGGGATGTCACTCATTTGTACAATGTTGTTGGGATGTCACTCGTTCGAGGAATTGAAAAGGAGCTTTAAAATATGTAATAGATGATAAAAAATAATTTGCTAAGCATTTTAATGGAACATTGACTACATTAAAGCTGAGCTATTCTGAACTAAGGGGAAGAGCACCTGCCTGGTTCCCCTGGACCTCTTATATCTAAGAGGAAATAATTCTGTATCACAGCTCAGCCTTGAGCACATTAAATACTTAACTATTCAGTTAGAATTTCTTCCCATAACATGAAGCCATTGATTATTTAAAAAATATTTAACAGACCAATAGTTGTAGGTATGAAAGAATGTTGGAACAGCACAGGTACTCTCTGTGGTAAATACTCCATTCTCAATTGAAGCTTGAGAGATGTTGAACTGGTTCAGGGCGTTATCATAAACTGTCAGGAGAAATAGATGAAAAGGAACGGCTAGACTTGGAAGGTTCAGAGGCGGATAGGTGGAGGGCTGGGATAAGAACGGGGTTAGAAAGCAATACTATTACATTACTAATAGAAAATAATCATGCCCAACATAAAATATTAGGCCAAAAGGAGAAAGAATGCTAATTAAGAAGGAGCCGTTTATTGAGGCTGTGGCCCACTACTTGTGTTAATGCATGACTGGTGGTAGTATCTAGAGCACCTTCCCTCTATCTTCATTCCCAAATGGAGTTCGTACAGGCAGCCTTAAGAGCTCTGGCTTTTGAGAGACAAAGTATGCTTGGAATCCAGGAATTTGCTGTGTGGCCTGGGGCAACTCACACACTCTCTCTAAGTCTCACTTACTCTCTGTAAGATGGGATTATTATATCGCCTACCTCCTATGATTTCAATGAAGATGAAATAAAGTAACACATGTAAAGCACTTAGAACCTTCTAGCATAATTGCCCCACACATTTAATTTAGAAAAATAAAACTTTAGGGGCTGGGCGCTATGGCTCACACCTGTAATCCCAGCACTTTGGGAGGTCGAGGTGGGCAGATCGCTTGAGCCCAGGAGTTTGAGAGCAGCCTGGACAACATGGCAAAACCCCATCTCTTCAAAAAATACAAAAATTAGCCAGGTGCAGTAGTGTGCACCTGTAGTCCCAGCTACTCAGAAGGGGAAGGTAGGAGGATCCCTTGAGCCTGGGAGGTCGAGGCTGCACTGAGCTGAGATCGTGCCTCTGTACGCCAGCATGGGTGGCAGAGTGAGACTGCATCTCAAATAATAATAATAAATAAAACTTTAGCATATTCATTTTAATTTCTTTCATATGAAAAAATAAATTCTGATTATCCAAAGATAGTAGGATTGTTGGGTCTACTTTCTGGACTTACTAACCTAGGTCATACTCTCTCCTTTCTCTGTTTCCTTTCTTCCTCCTTTAAGCCAGCACTCTCCATTAGCACTTTCTACAGTGATCTGTGTCTGTACCGTTCAGAGCAGTAGCCACAAACCACATGTGGCTATTACGTACATGAACTGTAGTGCAACTTAGGAAACGAATTTTTCCTTTTAATTAATTTACATTTAATTGGCCACGTGTTGCTAGTGGCTGCCATATTGGATAGATCAGCTAAACCATGATCTCCTTTTAGGAAAAAAAGCCACTTACACTGTCTTCCTCTATGGTTAATGTGCAAAATCTTGCAAAAATCTTTCTCTATTAGTTATCTTAGCATTTGCCTCCAGCCTCACTTTCTGTGGCCTTGTTTCCTGTATTTGCCCAGTGTGTTTATAAAATAAGGATTTAAGAAACTAAGTTTTCTCTGTAGAGTATCAGTCCCGTGTTAAGATGTTTCTTATTGCCTTGCCTGATTCTGCCTAGTTGAATCTGTCTGCTTTTCCAGAGTCCCATGAATCACATGTACTGCTATGAGTCCAAAGAAAATAAAAAATTAATTTATTAAAAATGAGTCTTGGAAATAACAAAAGGCAAATCCTTTAGGCCTTAAAAGCTAAAGTACTGTATATGTAAAATTCTTTTATAGTACATTTTCCAGCATTTGTTAGAAATTTTTTCATACAGTAAGATTTCTGTCTTCCTTAGTAGAAATACAGGTTTTTAATTATTAAGATAAGAATCAGTCTTTTATCTGCCTTTGTATCAAGTCTTTTATCTGTCCTAGCAGCCGATTACTATAGAATTGGACAAAAATGTTACCTTGCGCTTCCTTTGGGTTAAAAAATAACATTTCTTGCCTATTTTTAGTTTTGGTTTACTGTTAGTAAGAAATTTTTAAAGCTTTCAAGAGATCTGTTTAATAAAAATGGTAAAGTTGTCGTGATATTTGGTATTTAGAAATACAATTTAGGAGGATAGAATTTTCTACGAAATATTGAATTGTTTTTCAGCTAAAACAAACAAAAACTACAATTTAAAAGTTCCAGCAGCTGTTATCTTTTTATCCAAGGACATGTTTTTCCTCTAAGGAATCAGTTATCTGCCTTGGTCTACACATAATTAATTCTTTGTTTTAAATGCAAATTCTCTTAATGGAGCTAGGCAAGATATTTATTTAAAGATTTTGCCCTTGCCTCCTAGGAGTCTCATTAATGTCATTCCCTAAACATACAGGGTTTTTTTTCCCAATTAATCTGTAATAACTGTCTTTTAACCTTAGCCAGAAGGATTAGAATTAGCTATTTGCCTAGTAGCAACGTTCCAAAATTGGCACACCCATCACCCACATTTCTGCAGGTCATGAAGGCTTTAAGCCTAGCCTGTATCATTTAAAACTCTTTCAATTCAGTTTTCCAATTTTCTAGGAATCTGAATTTGTAAATTTTTAAATCCATATTTTTGTTAGTTTTGATTTGTTTTCTGCCTGCAACTGTCTGGGTGCCCTGATAAAAGTATTTGGTGTTGTGAGACAACCTCTCATAACCAGATACCACCCTTGCAATACCAGCCCTTTGCTTTAGACCGCAAGTGTAAGTATGAAGTGTCATTTTCAGTTTCACCCTCGCGCTCAGCATGTTTAGCCTTCTGCATTATTAGATTTGTTAAGAAACTGTAGAGGAGGGGCTAAGGGGAAATGGGTAGCACTTCACTCCTTTTAAAATTTAAAATACAAACCCTTTAAATCAAACATCCTTTAGTACTGTTAACCATATAGCAACACATAACAGGATGTGCCTCAAGCTAAAGCTATACATTTGACTTGCAGCATGGAAAATGACCTCCAACTTTCTCAGATGGACTCTTCGTGCTTGTGAGGGAGGAGAAATATTATTTAAATGGACATGTATATGCATGTGTGTGTTTCTGTGTGTATGTGTGTATATATACATATACATTTTTACAGTAGTTTTTAACATAAACACTATGAAGACTACAAAAATGGCCAAATTAAGGAATTATGAGATATTTTAGTCTCATAAATGTTGTGAAAAATGCTTCAGTTCATTTTTGCCATTTATCAACTCCCGTTTTAGAAAATCATTTGACATGGGAGCCCAGCTCCTCCTGTGGGCAGCATGAGTGGCCTGTCATTTAATAGACAGTTTTTCTTGTCCTCAGGTCAAAAGGTGTTTGGTTTTGACTCAGAAGCTGCTGGAATAAATGCAGTCTTTAGTAGGAAAAGTATTTATTAATCTGTTGAATCCAAAGCCACCTGTGTTTTGAATTCCCATAAAAGTATTTATGTTCAACCTAAAGCCACCTGTGTTTTGAAGTCCCATTTGCCAGCCTAAGGGAGGTGACAGTCTAGCTTGTCCCTCAGCGTGAAGGGAAGTCAGAGCCATTTTTAGTTTTCCTTGTGGAGTTGCAGGGAACACTGAGCAGGGAGAATCCCCCTTGAGGGACACTTATTAACTGATCTCGTGCTGGGATTGGATCCTGGAGTGAATTCATATACATTGGGAATGAGTGGCAAGAAGCAGTTTGGGAATAGTACTCTTCAAATGGAAATGAGGTTTGAAAGGGGAACCAGGGTGTTTCTCAAGCAGACAGTCTCTGTGGCAAAGATGAAGAGTTGCTGGGGCCAGAAATGCTTAATTAAGATCTGTCTTGTTTTTGCAAGGGATAATTTACAGCCACCGGTATGGCCCTGGCCTCTGGCCTTCAAAGGTGACTGACATTCTATCAGTGTCATTTGAAGGAAAGCATATCAACCTAAAAGGCGGATATAAAGGAAGTAACAACTCATCAGAATTATGCATGAGTTGTTATATAATGTGAGTGAATTTAGTAAATATGTCCAATAAAAATGGAAATGAAATTCCTTGCTGCAGTGCATCTGTTTTTTTGTGATTTTTTTCATACTTTGTTGACATACTATCCAAGGCATTTTTCTATATAATGCAAAACAGTGGAAATTTTCTCATGTTATCATGAGTCTAAATTATTATTCTCTCATCATTCTATAAAAATTAAAACTTTATGTTCTCATCTCCTGTTTTGCTGTCTGTTGCCTGGTCATTCAACTCCCTGAAGTATGCAGAGAGGAGAGTATGGAAATAGAAGGAAAACTCAATTTTGTCAGTTTAACAGTTTTTATTTTTAGATGTATATCTACACACATACATATATAAAATAAATGGTGGGCTGAAATCTGGACTCAAGTGAGCCTTCTTTTTTTAAAAATTTTTTCCATGCTTTATCCCATTTATTATTCATTACAAAGCAGACTTTTTTTTCTTCCCAGCTTTTAGGTTCAAGGGGTACATGTGCAGGTGTGTTACGTGGGTAAATTACGTGTCGTGGGGGTTTGGTGTACAGATAATTTTGTCACCCAGGCAATCAGCATACTACCCAGCAGGCAGTTTTTCCATCCTCACCCTTCTGTCACCCTTCACCCTCAATAAGCCCTAGTGTCTATTATTCCTTTCTTCGTGTCCATGTGTACTCAATGTTTAGCTCCCGCTTGTAAGCAAGAACATGACAGCATTTGGTTTTCTGTTGCCGTGTTAATTTGCTTAGGATAATGGCCTCCAGCTCCACCTGTGTTGCTGCAAAAGACATGGTTTCGTTCTTTTTATGGCTGTATAGTATTCCATGGTGTATATGGAATTTTCTCTTTTTTTTTTTTTTTTTGAGACAGAGTCTCGCTCTGTTGCCCAGGCTGGAGTGCAGTGGCGCGATCTCGGCTCACTGCAAGCTCCGGCTCGCTGCAAGCTCCGCCTCGCTGCAAGCTCCGCCTCACGGGTTCACGCCATTCTCCTGCTTCAGCCTTCCGAGTAGCTGGGCCTACAGGCACCCGCCACCACGCCCGGCTAATGTTTTGTATTTTTAGTAGAGACGGGGTTTCACTGTGTTAGCCAGGATGGTCTCGATCTCCTGACCTCGTGATCCTCCCACCTCAGCCTCCCAAAGTGCTGGGATTACAGGCGTGAGCCACGGCACCCGGCCAACCACATTTTCTTTATCCAGACCACTGTTGAACATCTAGGTTGATTCCACGTTTTTGTTGTTATAGTGCTGCAGTGAACATATGCGTGCGTGTGTCTCAAGTGAGCTTTTTATATTCGAGTTCCAACTTATTTGTATGGATAATAAAAATTAGTTATGTCTAGTGTTGTCTTATGGACGCTCCAGTATTGAATTTTGATGTGAAATGTGAAAACAATACAGAACAAAGGTAACCTAAAGTACAATCACTATTCTGAGTCCTCTGGCCAGTTTCTCCAATATAACATTCAGATTGTTCTCTCACTCCCTAAAGTAAGAACATAGGATTATAGAATTTAAGGTAGATTGCCTTGCATTCACTCATTCATTCATTCATTCAGCCACTCACTCTTAACTAGCTTGTGCCAGGAACTGTGCTGAGCACTGGGGCTGTTAAAACGGATGGGACAGATGTAATCTGACTTTCAAGGACTCCTTTTAGTCTTTCTGGCTTTCTAAAATGCAGTAGTACTTATTCATATTTTGGCTATTTAAAAGTGATTTTTCTCAAACTACAGCAACAACTTACTACTTAATAATAAATGTCTCAGGGTAGTGTAGAAAATGCTGTCACCCTTTCCAAGTAATAATCTACACTTCAGTGCCCACGTGTTTTTTCATTTTGAATGTTGGGATATTACCATCACAATAAGAGGAATGCAGAGGATGGCGGTAAAGCATGAGCATTGTGTTAGACTAGTAACCATCTCATGCTTGACAGGTTACACCGTGGCTACCATAGTGGACAGCCATTGGATATTCTCCCCCCATAGAAATACATTCGTCAAAAATCAGGCGTCAGATAGCTAGCTATTGAGAATCTTCTCTGTATAATTTTGAAGTATTACAGTGCAGTGTTACTCCTGCTCTCAAGCTTTCTAAGAAACAAAGCAGTTGATTTTGACAAGAACGTGCTGAGCTTCTGTCCAGTGCTCTGCCAGGTACTGGGGATACAAAGATACCATCTGCCCCTGTGTCTGCTTCTAGTAAGGGAGGAAAAGGATGGAAGGAAGCTGATGAATTAGTAAGTGCCAGATAGCCTCACTTCCTATTTCATACGATACCTTTTCAATTGCTGACCTTTATAAGAGGGCTTGGTCAAGTGTGATTATGGTTCATATGTCTTTTTTTCTACCTATTCTGGGTATCTCTGTTTCTATCTGTAAATTAAGGAATTTGTTGAAAAGCAAGTTACTATTTCATTTAGTGCCTATTTCATGTATGCCACTGCCCTAACCTTTACAGTAAGTTATACTATGTGGTTATCTCCCGGTTGGAAGCCTTTGATTTTTTTATGTACCAGAAAGAGTTTGTGATTCAAGCGAATGAGCATCAATTACCCCTGTCACCTTGTTGGATAATTTGGAGTATTTTAGCTATTAGCAAGCTATTAGCATAACAGACATTAAAATGATTAAAATATCAGTGATTACTTTAATCCCTAGGGCTATAAAATGATTCTTTTACAAAATGCATAATATTAAAAAAACATTTAATTTGTTTTAGAGGATCGGCTTTTGTTTCCAAAGATTCTTTTAGCACCTACTGAAAAATATGACATAGTGTAGGCTGCAGTAACTGTTCTTGGATGGTTTTCAAAAAAAAAAAAAAAAAGCCTTGTGTTTTAGGAAGAGCCCTGAACTTTGAGTCAGAGGACCTGAGTTCCATTGTGAACCCTATCTCTGATTAGCTGTATCATCTTTCCAACCTCTCTAGCCCTTCTTCTGAAAAAATGGAGATTTTCTTTGTACCTCACAAATTTTTGTGAAAGTCAGATGATGTATGTGGAGCACTATAAAGTGCTACACATGCTAAGGTGGTGGATTGGAATTAAAGAATAGCATTGCAGTACTTTGTAAGGCTTTTCCTTAGATTATTGGGTTCACTTAAAGATTCTCTGTGATGCAGCCAAGTAAGGTAAAACCAATAGGGAATTTCAGAGTCCAGTAAATGCAAGTTCCAGTCATGGGATTAGATGAAGCTGTGACTGCACAGTCTGTGGTACCTGGTCCAACTAACTGGTCAACTGCCCTCTCTTTTTTTGATAAGAATATGTATTCTTCCCTTTGAACCTTCTCAGTTCTCTAGGTTTTTTGGTTTTGTTTTGCTACTCATCATTCCCTTAGGACTCTTCCCCTTTCTTAGTTTCATAGTAGCGTAATACAAAGTCATGCATCCTACTTTTATGTAAGATGAAAAGAATAAAATAATGGGATAATGATATATATTGTTCTACAGATGAATGTAGATGAAGGGAATTTTACAGCTTTAAAGATTTTTTTCAATTTGAAAGTTAAACTTTAAAATTCCAGAACTCTATAAACATCTGTTATCTAGAACTTTCATAAAATTTTATGTGCCTTTTGCAGTTTAATGTTGGTTTCCCCCTTTTTGTGGAAACAGAAGTAATAATGTCTATTTGTAGTGAACTTCTTTCTTTTGAAGCTGTCAGTTGAGGAAGTTTACATATTTTATGTAACTTAATCTTGATGCACCCTCTGCTGTTACTATTCTGTTTTCAAGAGGAGGGTCTAAGAGGTTGTCACATTTCTAAGCTACACATAGTCATGTCTGGGTTTTAAGCCTAGAGCCCAAACTCTCTCTTTAATGGAGATAGTTTGGTATCTAGGGTTCCTGTTGGGAACAAATGGAAAAAACCATATGGCTTGACTAGACTCAAACAGTGATGGTCTTGACGGTCAGCCTGCAGAGTTTGAAGACATGATTTAGAACCAAGTCCATAGCCTGGCCAGCAGGGATTCCACCTTCCAGTGTCCAAATTATTGATGGTAAATGGAAGGTTCTTCCGAGAAACTCAAGGTGTTGTTGGAAAGGAATGGGCCTGGGTGGGTGGATGCCATCTTGGGGGCCTTCCTGGGTGCCTCTGAAGTTGTGGAATGCATACACTACAGTACTTGGCAGTGACCGTGGTGTCTGTTAACTGTGGGGGCCTTCCTGGGTGCCTCTGAAGTTGTGGAGTGCATACACTACAGTACTTGGCAGTGACCGTGGTGTCTGTTAACTGTGAGCAAGATAGGACACCCCCTCTTTGCTGATCATGTTCAGGAAGCCAGGAAGTGGTGGCAGCTGTAACCAAGAAGTCTTCTGGTAGGAAACTTAGCTTTAGGCATCAGGAAGCAGGGGAGAAAGCCCATGAGTATGAATATGAATAAGTTAATGAGTGTCCCTTTTACAGGATTAAGCCATCCCAGGAAGTCCACGATGGTGAGTGCAAAAGGACAAGTAATACTGTTTTTAGAATACAGCAGTAAAATAAAAGATCCTCTGAGGATGCCATCTAATGGAATTACTTGTTATTCTTACAGTTTGATAATGCCACATTTTTAACTAACACATTTTCAGTGACCTTCTTGGTCTACAGAATGTTTTGCCTTCCAGTGTATGCTTTTGAGAGAGAAGAGAGAATAGACTCAGAAAAGTTATTGGCTAGACAAGAAATGTGAAAAATTGCACTTATTTTTAACCTGGAGCTGACTTTGTATTGATCCCTATGTAGCATGGTAATTAGGAGCATAAGTTGATGATGTGTACATTTGTTATGGAGCAAAGAGGAAATCAATATGCCTACATAAAAGTGATCCCACAGCCTTATCTTGAGGTTTTTTAGTATCTCCTGTTGGCAAGCAAACTGTAAAGAATGTGCCAGAAGCTAGAAATGCAGTTTCCATCCATTGACTTGATTTGGTATATCGAGAGGAAGCCAAGCATGTGTATCAATGAGGTCTGAATTTTTCTACTGTAGCAGGAAAGCAAAAGTCTTTTCTTTAAAAATGTTGCAGTTACACACGGGTTGAGCAGCTTGTTTTTTTAGAAATGTCTTTTTGTGCTAGGTTTTTGGGCATTTGGTCTGTTCGGGTTTCAGTTAGCCTTTATTTAACTCATCGAAATATTTGCCATGTGCCCCATCCACAGCAGCCCCCAGTTTGACACTCCACATGAGCTGGGGTGTCTTGCCTGGTGTCCTCTGCTAAAACCCCCCAAGTGGGAGAGAGGATGCGTGCCAAGGGGGACGCAGATCCATTTCTGATGGGCACTGCAGCATGAGGACTTCTCCAGGCTCATTTGTCATTCTTCTTTTATGCCTTTTCCCATTTCCCTAAACATTGGTTGAATTTTCTGTATGCATCCTTTAAGGAATTTCTCATATATATGGAACGGAACTGAGTTTGACTAGGTTTGATGATCGCTTATATCAGTAGTACTAATTTGGCACCTTAGTCATAGAAGTAAACAAAGCAAAATCTAGTTCACAAGAGTAGTTGCTGTAAAAGTGTCACATAATAACAAAATTAGTTTGATTTTAAAATAAAACCATTCTTTTGAGAATAGCTAATTTTTATTAGGGCAAAAGAATGCCAGTTCTTAGTATTTTAAAAGACCTTTCCTATATGACTTTCTGCACAAGGTTGGAGATAAAATAATTCCACCCAGATTCTCTCTTCAACTTAATGGATTGCACAGATTTTTGCCAGCATTCTCTCAAAATATGAGTCATGATTATGCATTTATATTACATGTTTCTTTCCAAGCCTCAAGCTAAATTATAGTGTCTTATAAAGACTACAGTCTATGGGCATGAATTAAGTAGGCCACACTACTCAGCCATCTGTCTTCTCTTTCTTTTTTCCTCTTAAAAACCATACCAAACAAACTTGAAGGCCAAACAAGCACTGGAAATGCAAAGATGTCTTTGGGTTCACAAGATTCAAGGTTCACGTTCCTTTCATTCAACATATAACTCCAGGATCTGTAACTTCAATGGTAGTCAGTTACAGTTCCTGATGTGCACTACTCAGGCAGCTGGAACCTGTGAGACACCAAAGCCTGGTGTTCACCTGAACATCCAGTGACGCTTAGAGCATCGATTTGAGTGGAAGACAAAAGTAGGTTTTCTTCATGTTTTATTATCTACTGTCATATCTGACCCTTGATTTCTGATTAGGTCTTTGGCTATGGGGATGAATCAGTAGCCCTAGGGATGTGGTATCTTAATAAACAGAAAACACTTGGAAGCAATATAAATCCATGAACAAAACTTATAGAGCCTTGGCATTTTATAAGAAAATGATGCAACCCAATGTAATTTGCATTTACTCAGTTTGACCAATAATGTAACTGTTAAACTCAGTAAATCCAGAGTAACTTAAACTAAATAAGAGAGGTGAATTTTACTTTCAGGAAGGGAAACAGAGTTAAAATAAAGGATAAGAACTAACCTTTACTGATGCACAGAGAAATCACTACCTCATGTTCTATAAGCAGGTGTTAAGATTTCTTTAGGAGGGTGTATTCAGTCCACTCTACTCTATTAACGCTACCATGAATTTGGTTTCCCAAGCCAAAAGTTAGGATGTTGTTTTTTATTTTTTCTCTTTCTCTGTCCCAAGCTCCAAGTACTATGGATTTGACAAGTTAGAAATCACTTTCACCCAGAATTTTACAAGGATTTCCTTTGTTATATTTTGTACCTTCTAGTATTGTTGTTGAGAAGAATGGAACTATTCCACGCCCAGGTCCTTAGACCCTTAGGCTCCCACCCACCCTGTCCCCAGAACCGTAGGCTTACTTCCTTAACCCAGGAGTCTGAATTCCTCAGTGATGTGTTTTCATGTGGACCATTTTTTATTCATTGGGCTCGGTACTCTCTGGACCTTTTAATCCAGTTTTACATATCTTAGTTCTAGAAATGTTCATATACTATTTCTTAATAATTTTCTCCCCCTTTTTTTTTCCCTCTTCTCTTTTGTGATAGGTCTGTCTGGTAGTTGCCGGACTTTTTAGATTGAACTTCAGTTTCCTTAATTTTTTTTTTTTTTTTTTTTGAGACGGAGTCTCGCTATTTTGCCTAGGCCGGACTGCAGTGGCACTATCTCAGCTCACTGCAAGCTCCGCCTCTTGGGTTCACGCCATTCTCCTGCCTCAGCCTCCCGAGTAGCTGGGACCACAGACGCCCACCACCGTGCCCGGCCAATTTTTTGTATTTTTAGTAGAGACGGGGTTTCACCATGTTAGCCAGGATGGTCTCAATCTCCTGACCTCGTGATCCGCCCACCTCGGCCCCCCAAAGTGCTGGGATTACAGGCGTGAGCCACCGCGCCCGGCCAGTTTTCTTAAGTTTTTATCTCTCATAACTGAGAGAATTTCTCAGTTTACCTTACAACTGTCTTACTGGATTTTTTAGTGTTTAATTTTAACTCTCATAAGTTCCACCTCTTCTTCAGCGATCTAGTTGTTCCATGAGCTTCACTGCAGAGTGATTGGATGGTTTACATCTGCTTGTCTTTTCTCTAGAGAACCATCTTCTTTGATCTCTGTGGGGTGGTGAGCATTCTGAGGCCAAGTTTAGAGGAAGGAGAAGTGACCCTGGGTCTCATCTCTGCCTTAGGCTTGTCATTTTCATCCCTGTTCTCCTCTGCACCTCACGCCCTTGACTCTGCATCTTTTCTGTTCTCTAAAAACCACTGCTGTTGTCCCGCAGTGGTAGGGGATAGGTTACTGCCTGACTAGGCCAGGCGCTGTGTGGACCTCAGGGCCCAGGGCCGAACTACTGTTCCTCCTTTCTAAGTAACTTTTATGCCTAAATCTCCCTTGTCACTTGGCCTTTTGCAGTGCTTGGTGCTTACCGTCCCTGCACCATTTTGGCATTCTGCAAAGACAGTGGTCTTCCTTCCTACTGATTTTTCCCTCAGCACACCTTCCTCTGCTCTGCTGAGCCATAACCTTTCTTCCATTCACCTCCAACTTACATACTGTGTATTAGAGTTTCAGGGATCTCCAAATTCAGTTGGCAGTTGAGGTTGTTTCTGTTTCTTGTTCTCCTTGTTCTGTTGTGATGATTTTCTGAAAAGGCTGAAACTTTTACTATACCATGCTGACAGTGGAGTTCTGCTTTTTAACAGAGTGATCCCTTGTTCTAATAGATTTCTCAAAGGGCAAATATTAGGAAGTGTTGTTGTTGTTGTTTTATGTTGGCTCTGGAATGTCTAGGGAGAGGCACTGGCTTGGGATGCTGACTGGTTTGCCAACATGGTAAATTGAATTCTAGAGTTGAGACTTATCTAGTCTTCCCGTGTCCTTGCCGAACTGCACCAATTAGCTTCGCAGGCTGACTTTGGTCAAGTTAAGAGTACGCCTTGCACTGTGCAGTTGGTGGGAACCTTAGGCATAGCCGACTTAAATCATATATTTTAGGCTAAAGAGTCTTAAGTACCTGAGTAATCGCTTGAGCACATGGGAAAGCTGTCTAGCCTGTGACCTTTTAGGGAGCTGTGATGCCAGTTTAAGAGAGCAACTATGGTAACTAAAAGCCACACCTGACTTTCACATGATGGACACTCAGGTTTTCCCTGAATTGTGACAGCTTTTACTAATTGTGCTTTTCACTTCTCTCAGACTCAATAAAAAAGTGATTTGTAACTCTGATTCCTGATTATATTAATATAACTATAGTTTAAAATATCTGTTCAGCTTATATAAATGAAGTATTTTTAATCTGTTAAAGCTTATTTATCACCCATGTTCAATGCTCTTGATTCCACATATGCATATTAGTTAAAGGTTCGATCAGTTCTGTCCTAGAAGTTTGCTAATTAGCTGGAAAGACAGAATTTGTATATCACATGCCTAACAGCAATATCCATCAACTAGCCAGAACCAAAACCATGAATATTGGATCATACTGATCCATCCTGGTTGTAAATAGACAAGGCCCCCATAGCCAAGAATGGGGCTACTGCATGCACTTGCATGGCTTGTGTCAGAAAGGTGCCTTCCTTCAGTGGTGAGGGACCACTGAAGTTCAGCCATTCTCTGTCGGGGCATCTGTGCAGAGCACACACCTTTTTTAAATTGTACCATGGCTTGCCATCCTTTGCACTGTGCAGCACAGTCAGCAAATCTTATGGAGAAGGCAAGATTTAAGTTGAGATGTGGGTCAGACTGGGAGATACGATTGCCAGGAGGCGGGGCTGGAGCAGATCAGCCAGCTGGGGGTAGATAGACAACATGCAGAGAGCTGTGGCAGGCCAGGTTCCTCTACAGGGGGCTGTCCAATAGAAAGATTTTATCTGGATTTTCCAGTAGCCATATTAAAAGGAGTAAAAAGAAACAGGTGAAATTATTTTTAGTAATATATTTTAACTTTATATCTCCAAAATACTATCATCTCAACATCTAAAAAATGTTAAATGATTATTAATGAGATAGTTTACATTATTTTTTGTATTATGTCTTTGAAATTTGGAGTACATTTCACACTGACAGCATATCTCAAATCAGATGCTAAATTTTATCCTGAGTACTTGCTGTTTATATTTCGTAAAATGTAAAGTTGAAAACATAGATTCATATACCCAAGTTATTCTAAACACTTAAAAAATGAATCAGAGTATCAGTTTTTAAAGTCAAATTAATGAAAATGAAATCACTGTGTTCCTCCAAACACAAGTCCATTTCAGGTGCTCAGAGGACTCTGGGTGGCTCTGTGAGCCACCTCTGGCGTCTGCTCTGTGGGCAATGTGACTATGGAGGGACTGGGGCAAGCCAGTGCTAGGCACATGGTGTGCCTGAAAGGCATTAAGGAGACATTGAAGTTTTCAGGAAGATAAATCTCATACAAAGTTTGTAATAAGGAGGAACTACAGACAGAGAAAGAGAGAGAAACCTTAGAATCCACCAACTCCCATATGTTGAACACAGACATGGCCTAGTTCTTTTGGTCACTAAGACTGGTTATGCTGCATTTAACCAAACACTTTCTTGAAGAATAAAATATCAGACAAAAGGAAGCTTTTCTCTTTCTATTTAGTATGATTTTTTCTACAAGTTTATTGAGGTGTTGATGCATAATGAACTGCATGTATACAAAGCATACATTTTGATGAGTTTTGGCCCATGTGTGAAATAGTCACCACAAACAAGATAATGGACATTTCCATCATCCCTAAAAATGACGAATATTTGCTTAGAGGGTCTTATTTCTACGGTCCCTGGGAGTGGATGTGAGGACCAGAGGCCCAGTCTTGGTCCTGCTGAGTAACTGTGAACAAGGTGTTTAATGTCTCTGGACTTTAGATTTCTAATTACCGGAGATAGTACTTGTTATCTCCAGAAATATATTTAAAATATTTAACCTACAAGTCCTGGAGGCCTCTGCTGTGCCAGGTGTTAATTTTTTTTAGCTGTGTATTGGGGGTCTTGGAACAGCTGCTTCTTACGCATTGGTAGTTGGAACATTTTAATAACCATACGGCTGTATTAGCAGGTACCAGCATAGATGATGTGTGTGGCTGCACGGCAGCCAGGAAAAAAGCCACAAACCGCCTTTCTCATTTCTAGACGCAGTCATTGCTGGCAGAAGAGGAATTGAATAGTGTGGGAATGTGGTTTTATTATAGGTGAGATGCTCCTAAGGGTGGATCGCTCTGCATCATTGACTTGGAGCCGGGAGAGGCACACACCATGTGATGTGTGTTGAGGGGCCCAGCTGTGAGTAAGCCATGCTGACAGCTCAGCTGAGAGCTTCCCTTCTCACCATTTCTTCTTGGCCCAACAGAGGGTGTTCAGAGCTCTGCCGGATCCCTATGGTGGAATATAAACTCGACAGCGAGGGCACCCCCTGCGAGTATAAAACCCCCTTCAGGAGGAACACCACGTGGCACCGGGTGCCCACTCCTGCCCTGCAGCCCCTCTCTAGAGCTTCCCCCATCCCCGGCACGCCCGACCGGCTGCCGTGCCAACAGCTGCTCCAGCAGGCCCAGGCTGCCATTCCTCGAAGCACCTCCTTCGACCGGAAGCTGCCCGATGGCACGAGGTAATGCTGGTTCCGTTTCCTCAAGGGGGGCCCTTGTAAATCACTGGGGTGAGAACTTGACATTGTAGGGAGGGTTTTGCTTAATCACTTCTGAGTTAGCTTGTTCACAGCAAGTTGGCAAGCAGGGTAGCAAGGCAGGCCCCAGACACAGTGGTGCCTGGGGTCGGGCACTCTCCTGGCCCCAAGATGGTGCTGGTAAAATGCAGGTTCTGCCCACCAGGGTCACAGCTTTTCCTCTTCATCCAGTATCCTTCCTCCATGTCCACTGGCTCTCTTCCCCAAGATGGGAAAGGCACCCCAGAAACTATTCTGCTGGAGCCTCTAGAAAAGTGTGAACAGGTTTGAGCATAAATAAAACTGAACAATCAGTGCTTAAATATCATCATAATGTGAGTAATACTTTAAGAGGTTCCAAGCTCATTAAGACTTCCTCTTTGCTTTTCTCCTTTTAAGCAAAGTGAGTTGAGTTTAAAATTATTTTTTCAAAGAAGAATGCATACACTTGTTTAAAAGTTAAATCCAGTACCATTGGAAGCTGGTGAGGGTTTTCAGATGCCTAATTTGCATAGATCATTTTAACAAAACAAAATAATAAATTTCTTATTGTTGTTAATTCGTACTCCTTTTATTCTAACTTTTATGTAACATGTAGGCACGGTAATGCCATGAGTTTTCTCAATTATGACTTGTCAGGCTCTGGTCTGATAG
The DNA here is from genome assembly GCF_000001405.40 of Homo sapiens. NCBI lineage: Eukaryota > Metazoa > Chordata > Mammalia > Primates > Hominidae > Homo > Homo sapiens. The sequence goes on along the minus strand of NC_000001.11, from coordinate 232,444,820 downwards.
ACCACGGACTGGGAGCCAGGCTGGAATCACAGCTCTTAACTTACTTGATGTACTGTAACCATAGGCCTGGTACTCATCCTCTCTGAACCTCCAGTTTCTTCATCTGACAAACCACATCAGGAAATTTTGAGGACTGAGTGGGTCAATGTATGTAAAATGCTTGGAACTGGGCCTGGCACTTAGTCAGCTTATATAAATATTAACCAGAATTAATTGATAAGCTTATATAAATATTAACCAGAATTAATTGATAAAACCTGTGGTCATCCTCTCCCTTCTCCAATTTTTATTCTTTCCAGAGTGAATGCAGGAGAGGTGTTAATTTAACATTCAATCATCTTGGCTCTGGGTCTCCCAACTCAAAAGTCGGCTAAGTTTATAACTTTCCCATATTCAAAGAAATGTACATAGATAGCCCTGGTAAAAGGGGCAACATGTAGAAGGAAGGGGATCTGCAGAACCTCCCTTATTTAAGTAAATTTAAATAATCATAACTTAAGTAAATTGTATTAAATTAAAATTTACTTAAGTAATTCTAATTTAAGTAAATTATAGGAGAAAACCAGAAGTATTCTAGTAGCAAAAGGGAAACTTGGCAAGCACATCTTCATCAAGTGAGTTTTCATGAGTATTTTTCATTTTTGCATGTCTGAAAAAAAGATAAAATAGGATTACATTCAAGAGATGTGTGAAAATAAATGGTTTTGCCAAATTTAGGTTTTTCTTTTTGCATAAGTTTTAAGTATAGAACTAAAACGTGACTTGTTTTAAATTTCACATAATAAGAATTAGTAATGTTTTCATAATTCTGTATTCTCGGAAATTGTATTGCTGTTCTTCTGTATTTCTCTGGGAGGGAGTCATTATCTGTGCTTTAAATCTTTAGACAGTGAGGGCCTGTCCTGTCATACCTCTTTCCTAGGACAAATTGCCAATCATAAACCACTGATATCCCTGGGCATCACCGATACTTAGTTTATTTTTCCATGATTTATTCTGTTTCACATGGCAATATGTTTTTCTTCCTTTTCTTTGTCATTCTCAAAGTATATTTATTTGTGAAACAAAACAGGCCAGGTCAAGGGGCTTGGCAGATAGTTCAGTGCCCTGTTAATGATTCTACTCAACCTTTCAGAAGCTCACCCAGCAACCAGTCATCCTCCAGCGACCCTGGACCCGGCGGGAGCGGACCCTGGAGACCACAAGTGGGCTACGACGGGTACTGTTCATTTTTATCTTAGTTATCCACTGGGAGGAACCTGTTTTCTGTGACTCATTGAAAAGCATTTACTGTGTGCCTTCTGTACCTGGGGCCATGTGGGGAATATAATAATGCCAGACATGCTTTTAACAAGTGACTTGTCCAGGTTGGAAAGCTCATTATTTCTGTGTAAGTAGTGCTCACTTGTCGATGTTCTCAGCCTGTTTTTTCCTTTTTGATGAGGAAAGGTTTTCAGAACATGAAAATTAAGGATGTGAGGGCTTAGTTGCCTCCTGACTTAAATTGCTGATGAGGAAACGCCGCTCAAAATCAGAGAAGTGGGTTTAGCGTTTGGCTTTTTTGCTTCCTGTCTGAGAAGTACTGGGAGGTTGCCCCAGCACACCTAGCTGAGAGCTGCCCTTTATAGTATCCACGCAGTCCAGTCCGCAGTAGCCAGCAGCTCAGGCAGAGCCTGAGGACTTCTGTGAACAAAGACACTGAGTTGACCAATCCCACCACCTCTGGGAAGAGAAGAGGGAGCATGGCACCAGGGTGCGCTCCTGAGGAGTGGTCTGCTGGGGCCACTGTGACTTGGTGCTGCTTTGGGTTGGAGTTAGGAGCTAGTCACACTGATTGAGAGGAGAGAATGGCCGGTCAGTGGGAAGGACTCCACTCTGAGGAGCAGCTTATATCACTGCTCCCGCAGGTGCACTGGGAAATTTCTCTCCATATGTAGTCTGAGTTATATGTTTTCCTTCCCTTAGATGATAGACAGAGTTCTTAAAAATTGTATGTCAAGCAACTTTCTAAATTAAATTGCATTTTAAGCCAAGAGAGGATTTTTTGATGTTGGCTTTTTTGGTGTTCTTTTTTGTATAAACAGTAAAACCTTTTCTGGCTTTTTCTGTAAACCAAGGTCTTCAACCAGAATTCTGTAAATAAGGATCACTTTGTAATGTCAATAAGTTTTCTTCTACTTATTTCTATCATATTTGGGGTTTTCATAAAACAAAGTCTACTTGGATGTAGTCTAGAGTTAATCTTTTTTTTCCTTTTTTTTTTTTTTTCTTTTGAGATGGAGTCTCGGTCTGTCGCCCAGGCTGGAGTGCAATGGCATGATCTTGGCTCACTGCAACCTCTGCCTCCCGGGTTCAAGCAGTTCTCCTGCCTCAGCCTCCTGGGTAGCTGGGATTACAGGCGCTCGCCACCACGCCTGGCTAATTTTTGTATTTTTAGTAGAGACGAGGTTTCACCATGTTGGCCAGGCTGGTCTCCAACTCCTGACCTAGTGATCTGCTCGCCTTGACCTCCCAAAGTGCTGGGATTACAGGCAGGAGCCACCGTGCCCGGCCCTTTTTTTTTTTCTTAAGAAAAATTTAATATAAAGAGATGTCAGTGCCATGTATTCTAAGCGTAACGTAAAAATGCGACCTCCTCCGTAGCTTGCAGGTACATTGTTTGATCCTGGACAGTCCTTCAACCTCCTGGTGTCAGCAGCCCTTCTTTATCTGTAAATGGCTATCATCCGGCTGCTTTTTCTGACCCTCTGGTTAAACCAGATCCCACAATTTCAGATGCTTTTAGCTTCTCTGGCGGGGCTGAGCTGACAATTTGCATTTTCATTTGCCAGAAAACCAGCTCCTGGATAGGGCTTTCCCTCGCATAGCCTACTTGGAAGCCAGCACTCCCGTGTGCATGCTGGCAGGTGGCACGGTTGAGAAAGGACAGGCTCAACTCTGTGTTCTTTTCAGGTGCCAGTCCCCTCTACTGCTCGAACACCAGGGCTCAGGCCCTTTGGAATGTGACGGAGCCAGGGAGAGGGAAGACACCATGGAAGCAAGCAGGCACCCGGGTAATAAGGAACTCCTGGAAATTGACCTCCCTTGCTCCCCCTTTCCCCCTCTCTGCCCCCTCCTCTCCCATCACTTCATTTTATTCATTCACTCATTCAACCTATGTGCACCAAGTTGAGGTGATCAGCTGGGTCTCCAGATGCAGGAGGGGGTGTGGTCATGGTTGGTTGTGGTTGTGGCACCTGCAGAAAGTGAACACTTTATGGTGGTGGTTCTGTATACTTTTGTGACATATCCATTGGTAAGACCAGAAAGTCCCAGAACCACAAGCCTGTTCATGTTTACCAAACCACTTGTCTGACTCCTGGTTTTCTTTACTCTTTTGGTAATACTGGAAATTGGAAATTCAACTCCTCTCTTTTTATGTGACAGAAACCAAATGGCATGGCCCACCTTCCAAAGTCCTGGGTTCCTATAAAGAAAGAGCTCTGCAGAAAGATGGAAGTTGCAAAGATTCCCCCAATAAGCTTTCTCACGTAAGTCCTTTGTTCATAAGCCCTTCACTGGCCTAGCCAGGACTGATCTGTCTCAGCACACAGTGGTACAGCCTGATTCCTGGGGATGCTCAAGAGCACATTACCTCACAGGGCTCTTAGAGGTGAGGTTAAAAAAGGAAACTATCTTCCTGATTTATAAAGGACCTCAAAGAAAGGTTGCACAGCAAATTAGTGGCAAAGCCAAAATTATATCCTCAGCCTTTTGATCCTCAATATCCAGTGCAGTAGTTACTAAATCATGTTCCCATTTGTAATCTGTTAACCACTTATCCATTTAGTGGCACAAAACAGAAGCAGAAACTGCTAATCGGTGTGTGTGGTCAGAGGAACTCTGCCCATAGGTAGCCATTTACTGTACAGTCATCGATGATTTAATCATCACGGCCGCAGCTGCCCATTACACATGTCAGGGTAGAGCACCGCCCACGTGGTAGTTCTCAGTCCTTTGCATGTGTTGCCATGTGTACCCCTTGAAGAAACCCTGGGAGGTGAGCCTCGAGGGAGACTGTAGCCCAGTGAAACAAAACTTCCATTGAAATGCAGAAACAGGAATTGTTGGTTATTACAAATAAAGCCAACATTTTAAAGTGGCTTATTTTTGAAAATGTTCAGGTGAAGATAATTTATAAGGTCCTGAATTAAGTTATGTCTTTCTTCTTTCTTAATGTGTCATCAGCCAGCTTTGCAGTTGTCCCTTAGCAAACACATGTGACATTTCTTCCCTCAGCTGTGACCGCGACCTTGTCTTGAGTCAGCCTCACCGTATCTATTTAAATCCACCTTTACAATATTCTCATATTGGTTTCAGCAAAGGGATACATGGTGTGGGCGTAGTTTTGAGAATATCAGTGTATGATGAAAAGGTCAAGGTGATTTGCTTAAGGATCTGATAGGCTGGAATAAAAAAAGATAAGGCCAAACCACTTTAAAATCTACTGGGGCCTGGCTCGTTCTTATGATTCCAAAGCCCTTTGCTGATGCTTCAGATCTTGTTGCTTTTCCCAGACTGTGAAGAGAGGCCGTGTCTGTATGAGTACATTGTAGAGACAGGGACATTTCTTCTATTCTATTTGCTTTTTGTCTTCCAGAGACTCCCCACCCCAACCAAAAGCATTGACTCTTTTTCAGACCTATTTACTCTCAATAGACTCCCATTTCTTAAAGGCTTGGGACGCACTTTGACTGGGGCTGTCTCAGAGAGATACTTCGTGTTTACCGTGTACTTTGCAGCAGCCAAGTGGTTCTGCATATATTATCTCATTTGCTTCACACAGGAATCATGTAAGCTCGGTATTACAAGCACAGAGAGGGTTAAGTGATTAACCAGAAAGTCCTACCTTTGTGACTGGAACCTAAGTCTTCTGCCCTGAACTCAAGGCTGGCACTATAATTTGTCATGAAGCATTTTCTTAATAAGTGGCCCTTCTCTTCCTTATATTAATTTCCCATGTTCCTTCCCAGTTTATATCACCTTTGCTTATTATTTTCTTTGCTAGTGACACTGTGGCCATAGTTTTGTGCTTAATGCACAAATAATTAAAGACTTAAAGATACCCATTTAACTTAGATAAATTATGGGAAGAAGTATGAATTAGAGACTTCTGCACAAAACCAGGTTGTTTTTGAAAAAGGAAGTCCTGTCATTGCCCACATTGAAGAGTGAGTAGAAAGGGCTTGGGTGCGATCCCATGGCTTGTAGCTCCCTGAGTCAGGGTGAGAAGCACCTGAGTTCAAGATTCACTTGAGAACTCTCTGTTCCTCTTTCTTCTGAAGATTGGGGATAAAAGTTGCTCCAGTCACTCCAGCAGCAACACGCTCTCCAGCAACACCTCCAGCAACAGTGACGACAAGCACTTTGGGTCTGGCGACCTGATGGACCCCGAATTACTGGGGCTGACCTACATCAAAGGGGCCTCCACCGACAGTGGCATCGACACGGCCCCCTGCATGCCTGCCACCATCCTCGGCCCTGTGCACCTGGCAGGCAGCAGGTCCCTGATCCACAGCCGGGCCGAGCAGTGGGCTGATGCTGCCGACGTCTCTGGGCCTGACGACGAGCCAGCCAAGTTATATTCTGTGCATGGCTACGCGTCCACCATCTCCGCCGGCAGTGCTGCGGAAGGCAGCATGGGCGATCTCAGTGAGATATCCTCTCATTCCAGGTAAGCCCCACAGCACTGCAGAGTAGTACCTGCTGGTGCCACCTGGGCCCTGCCTGCTGGGATAGGGCAGAAGCCTGAACTGTAAGCAGTAGGGGCATCAGGTAGGTTGGTGTAATTTTTCCTAGCTGTCTGACATCAGAGGAAGGGCTTGTTTCTACAATATGAAAATGTCAAAGCTTGCATGTTAACAAGTCCCTTGTTGGTGTTTTTTTTTTTTTCCTATTAAGTTTGAGTGAAAAGTCAATAGAGATATTAATCGCTCTAGTCAGGCCACTTATGTCTCTCTCCTAATTCAACCTGTTGTCCCTACGTGTTTTGGAGAAGAGGTGGCACTCACTAATCTTCAGACCATAGTAGTAGGAAGCCATGAAGGCAGCATGTGCGTAGAGCACATGTAGCTCCCTGCCGTGAGGGCATGCACACACTTCCTCCCTGTTCCTACGGCCCTGACAGCAGGGGAGGCCTGAGATCATGTGTATAACAATGAAAGTGTGTTCAGCTCTGCAGCTGGGGTTCATTCAGTAAAGACTAGCTAAGTGTAAAGGAACTGGATTCTAAGTACTGTAAGTGTAGATGTTTAATATCTCCTTATGAGTGGTTTTAAACTCCTGTTTGACATACTTCTCTGCAGTGGTTTTAAAATACCTAATTTGCGATTTCTGCCTTCACTTTCAAAGACTAGGCAAAGGACAAAGAAATGCATTTATTCAGTTTGGCTGTGGACAGAATTTAACTATTTATAGCAACTACCACTGTCATTTTTCTGCTTGTTTCCAAGGCCTTCCCTGATTCAGCTCCAAGTTACTCTCTGACTCCTGCCCACAATGCTGGAGGGCAGAGTCAGATGAACTAAGAATGGGAATATTTCTTGCAGGTACCTAGTGCTATGAGGGAGCATTTCTCCAAATGATGGTGCTCAAGGCAGACCTGTAGCAGTCACGGTGAAAGGCTTTTTATGTTCCTCAGGCTCCCCTTCAAAGTCCCCCCTCACCCCACCACTGCCAGGGGATACTGAGTGTCATTCAGGGACCTTTACATTACAAGTTAAAGAAACTCCATGCTGATTGGTTCATGCCACCAGGGTCATATTGGGGCTTATGTAAACAACAAGTCTAGCACTTCAAGGTTCTGCTTGACCCAGCGTCTCAAAATGATACTGCCCAGGACCAGGTTGCCTCCATCTTCCCACTCCACATGACCATTTCCCAAAATCTCAGCATTCTTCTCTTGGCTGAAAACAGCTGTGCCACCTGCAGACCTCCCACAGTCACGCTCGTCTGTCCCCGGGTAGAAAGTGGTTTTTTTCTAGTTTCTGCAGAAGAAACAGGTTTCTGCCCTCTCCAAAGCCAACCCCTGCCCCCACACCACCCCCGTATCTCCTCACATGTTCCTAGCTCTAATCACGTGGTTAGGGGGTAGCATCGTCTACGGCACTTGGGGCCCTCAGCCTGGGCTGGGGGTCAGTCCCTGTCACCAAGCTGTGCAGCTGAGGAATGGCAAATACAGCCACTGCCCCAGAAGAGAAGCAGGACATTATTTGACCTGGAGAAGGGGGAGTGGATGCCAGAGAGTAGAAATCATGTGTGTCCACCATGCAGAGGGAGCTTAGGATATGAAGATTATTTTCAAAATAGACATTCCTACTACTTTTTTTACCAGTTCTATTTAATAATTTGACTTAAAATAGGTTTAGTACTAATAACTAATATAATAATTAAGGATTATCAGTGAATTTGGTCATCTGAATTATTCCTGGCTTAATTTCAGGAATAGTGGTCATACTGTGGAGACCATCTCGGGATTGCACAACCTGCTAACATCTAGTTCAAAGTTGAGATGATTTGTAAAAGAGCTGATTTCATGACACCTTTTTGGACAGATGTCATTGGCATCACAAATAGAGTTTTGTATTATTATTATTAAGTAAAATTTCTATGGAGACTGCCTTCAGAGTACATTCGTTTATTGATATTTGGTAGGGCTTTTTACCGGTATTTGTAATGGATTTTCATGACTACCTTAACCATTGGCAAATTTAATGGGCTAGACTATTAGAAAGTATATGACAGTGCTAGATTGGATTTCTGATTGATTTTACTTTCTTCCGCCACTCTAAATTGGATGTGGCCCAGCTGTTGTATAAGTGATAGATGTTGAGTGAGTGGAATCTTTTACCACTTGACTGCCCTTTTCCTGTAATTCTTCGTTGATGGTGGCTTTTGAAGCCACATTTCAACTTGCATCCTAGGCTTTTGCTCAGCATGGAATTCAGTCATTGAATGAAATCTTTTTAACACTTCCTCTTGCGTGCCCCCCGAGCTGCACAGGAGGCGAGGAGGAGGGATGGGATTTACAGCATTTGCCTTGTTTTCTGTGTGTTGAGTGAAAGGCAGGTGACTCATTAGAGGACGAGGGACCAACCTATCAAGCCACACAAAGATTCTGCAAACTCTGAAATGCCAACCCCAGCTGGGGCATGGGTGGCCATGAGGAAGGCTCCCTTAGCCCCCCTGCTTTCCTCTCCTGTCCCAGTTCAGGCAGCCTTGCAGTCCCCTCAAGCCGAGGCCTACTGCTGGAGGGCTTGGGTTGTGACTGGGAGTAGCCCAGGTAACAGAAGAGCAGAATAAACTTTCAGGAACTGACCGGGGTGACCATCCTGCCTAAACCCACACTTCTGCCTCCAAGTGCTCCGTGCCCCTGACCCGTGTGTTATTTTCTTCACAGCACCCACCCCTAAATAAAATTGTTTGTGTTTACTGCATATTCCTTCCCACAAGAAGGCCACTTATCGCCACCTTCTCCTCACTGGAGCATTCGTGTTTTGAGCTGATAGGGTCGTGGCCTATCTTGTTCGCTTGTATCCACAACACTTAGTACGCTTCTGTGCACATGGCAGGCATCTGAATATTTTTTGAATAAAGAAAGGAACTAGGAAAAGTGCTTGATAAATGCTTATTGATGGAGTTAATAAACCAGTGCCTGGGTAACCTAGGGAAGCAGGAGGAATGTGGGATCCACCATTCCCAGTTCACAGTGTCAGGAGCCCCAATCAGTATATGGTGTACTCTTAATTCTTTAACTCTGGGTTTTCACAACCGACACCATAGCAGCCTCCTCCAGCCCCAGGCACACACACGCACATTCCTTGGCAGCCACCCGGGAGTTAAATAAGTACAGAATTGTGTATATGGCATGATTCCAAGATTGTACTAAGGAGGCAAAGGGAGGACTTACAACTCTTCAAGACAAGTTACACTCTTGTGAGGAAGAGGGTAGGGGAACAGGAATCATCTATTAAGCAGAACAAGCATATATCTAGCCTGCTTTCTCCTGCTGTTCAGTTCTTTTAATTTAGCAAACACATTTTTTTTCTTTCTTCGAGGGCAGGGCATTTAGATAGGAGCTCAGAATACCAAGCAGTATTTATGCTAACCTAACTAAGGCTTTGCAAAATGAAATAAATCAACTGCAAAAACAAACCCCATGTTCTGGATTCTCCTGTAAATGGCACACACGACGTTGGGCTGTTTATCATTATTCATGCCACCGTACCTTTCTCCTGGTACAAATGACTGGACGTCAGCAGTATAACTCCGAAAGAAGAGCATTAGTCCAGAAGGAAAGAATTCATGAAAAGTTTGTGGACAACATTCTAGAATGTTATCAGCATCAGAGAACACTTCTGTAATGATACGACTGCTACTAAACAAGGAATTATGCCACATTGCTCATCAAATGGATTCTGTACATTTGTTCTTCAAGTTAACTTTAAAACATCTTACAGTTGGGATAAAATACATTTCTAATGAAATCTAATTTTTAGAAAATGTTATAAAACAAATGGAAAAATACATAGAGTTTGTGATCACGCTATCATTACCTATACATTTTCAAAACTATACGCTTTGGTCATTTTAAGGGGGAAAGGTGAGTAACCTACACACATGCAGCTTATTAACTAGACCATGACTTTGAGTGCCCCAGCCTTTAACAACGAAACATCTCGGGGATCATCCAAGGCTTTAAAATACATGAGACACACGGGTAGTGGAAGGCAGTGCACAGTCCTTCATCAGGTTCTTGATGGGGAAACTAAGGCCATAAGCCTTATTGGGACAATGGGGAAACTAGCATGTGGACTGTTAGATAACAGTATTGCATTAATGCCTGATGTCCTGTACATGATCATCACTTGGTTAACTACTGGGGGGATGTCCTTATTCTTGGGAAATGAATGCTGAAATATAGGAGTATGATGATGTCTTTAGGCTTGCAGCTAATTATCAGATGGTTCAGAGAGGAATTAGTGGATCTTGAAAAAGGGTATGTGGATGTTTATGCTACTATCCTTTCCCTTTTCTGTAGCTCTGAAATTTTTCAAAATACACTTGGGAAAATAACATACAGGGCGTCAGAGCTCGTTGTCTAGACACACAGTTTTCATGTTAGGGCTCCCTAACTGGCGTGCACCCCAGTGAATGGGAAGAGTCCATTAGCTCCTATTATTCATGCCTGTTGATTGCTTGCCTTACTCCTCAGGTCACCTTGGTCATGTTGCTTTACTGTTCTCCCGACCTGGTGTTCCATGTGTGTGGATGTCATTGTAGAGGCAGTGCAGCGTCTTCCCGAGACCCACAGTTAGCACCCAGAGAGAGGGAGCCATCAGTCATACTCAAGGGCACCAGACCAGCCACCAGCAACTAAGTTTCTTCATAGGAGTAGATGAGGCGCTTTGTTTGTTGGTTGGTTAATTTTACTTAATACCGCAGTGTTTTCCAAAACGCAGAGACCCTGAAAATGGGTCCGTTTATTTTGTGTCTTTATTTCCTCTTGAACCTCTACAAAAAGTTCATTTTAATATCACTCTTATTTTTATACTTTATTCGTCTTTTATGAGACTTGCTTTATACATGTATCAGAAAAGGTCTGTGCTCACCTGGGGTTTCAGAATAAGATTATATTTACAGCATACTGGAGGAGCTTGCTACCGCGGGAACCCTGTGTTAAACTCTTTCAATAGAAAGGACTCCTACTCGTGAATAATCCTTTGCTGGGTCACTTTCTGTAACTACGTTTATATAATGCTTACCCTATGCTACTCACTGTTCTAAGTGCTTCACTAATATTAACTCAGATTATCTTCAGAGAAACCTTCGGAGGTAGATACTGTTATTATCCTCAATTTACAGATGAGAAAACTGAGGTTAAGAAACTTGCCCAGGGTCTGGCAGTGGTAATGGACAGAGCTGATGTTGAGACCCGGAATCCTCGCATTGCACTCACGTGTCAAGTTTGCTGAAAGTGAAGCCCACCTGCCTTTCTGAACGCTGAGATTAGACCTATAATTTAAACTCTTAAAATTTTTCATATTTATAAAGTAACTTTTGTTTTTCATAAAACATATTGTTGATCTTTCTAATTTAAGAAAAAGATATTTCTGGTGGTGGTTAACTGTCCACTTAATTTCTCAGTCAGCCGGGGGTGGGTAGTCCTTCTGGCCTTAGCTTAATTACTAACCTTGAAAATTTTTATTGTTTTTAGGGCCTCTGTCTGTTTCAGTATTGTTGCTGTTGTATCATATGATAATGCAGCAAACACCCCTGTAACTACCACCAGGTTAAGGACTAGAACATTGCTGTGTCTGGAAGCTCTCTGCATCCTACCCAATTACAACCCCTTCTCTTCTCCCTTGAGGTAGCCACTAACCTGGCTTTTGTGATAATCATCCCCTCATTTTCTTTACATTTTCCTGAATGACATGTTGTTTACTTTTACCTGTTTATGAACTTTATTAAGCAACTGGCTCATGATCATTGTATTCTTTGTGACTTGCTTCTTCTCTACATTGTTCATGAGATCGCCCAAGTCGTCTGTAGCCTCAGTCCATTCATTCGTAGAGTATTCCGTGTATTCATTCATAGTTATTAATCGAATATCCTTCTACTATTGATGATTTGGGTTGCTGCCATTGGGGAGTTCTTAAAATCAGTGCTTCTAATCAACATTGTTCCATGTTGACAGTTGCACGTGCAGCAGGGGTTTGCTGTGTGTGTGCGCCCTTGGAGTGGGATTGCTGTATCGTAAGCTCTGCAGGTGCACACACCTTCATAGGTAATGCTCAAACTGTTTCATGCACTTTTTACTCCCACCAGCAGTAGGAAGGTACCTATTGCCCCAGTTCTTACTAACACTGGGTCACTGGGTATTGTCAGGCATTCCCATTTTTGCCTGTCTGGTGAGTATGTAATGCTATTCCATTGTGGTTTGCATTGGCATTTCCCTGGAGACAACTGAGTTTGAGCACCTTCTCCGACAAATATATTCACCATTTGAGTTTGTTCTCTTTTGAAGAATCAGTTTAGGAATGTTGCCCATTTTTCTATCAGATTTCCCCGGCCATGTTTTTAACATCCTTCCTGCCACAGGCATACAACTTGCACGTGAGTAACCTTAGCCTACGTAAAATGAGGCTTCCTAGCAAGCTCCATGGTAGAAAGAAGGCTCCATCTGCCTCACTGGGCCCGATTTTGCTCTCGGAGAAAGACTTGAGTAAAGCCTTGTGGCTCTGAATTTGGCCGTGTGCCAGCACTGCTGAAATCAGATTGTATTGCAGCTTTTGTCTGTTTTTCTCCTCAGTGGTTCTCACCATTCAGGAAGCCCTTCAGCTCACTGTTCAAAAAGTAGTGGGTCTCTGGATTCATCCAAAGTCTACATCGTGTCTCACAGCAGCGGACAACAGGTTCCCGGGTCCATGTCCAAGCCCTACCACAGACAAGGGGCAGTGAACAAATATGTCATCGGCTGGAAGAAATCGGAGGGCAGCCCACCGCCCGAGGAGCCTGAAGTGACTGAATGTCCCGGGTAAGGTGGCTGGCTGTTCTTCTCTGGTCAGCATTTTTCACTGTAGGGATTGACTAAGCAAATGTATTTTCCTCCCAAAGGAAATGTATTTTCTAAAAAAGAATAATCTAAAAACATCTTTCTTAAACTCTTTAAATGTTGATGTTTATATTTCCCTATAAAATTATTCTCTTGATTTTTACATAAAAAAAGGAAAAGAAATCTGTGTTCTTTGCTTTTATATTCAAATCTGCCTGCAATAGAAAAGTCATGGTAACATGCTGCTGATGGTGTGAGTATAGCGTCTCTATAAATACACCAGGTCAAAGGCAGTTCAAATTCCCACAGAGTCCTGTGTGTTCCTTAAAGTTGCCGTGTAAGTGACATCCTAAAACAAAAAGTATTTTTCTTAATTTTAGCATGACTTCCAATTTTCCTTTTAGTTGTTAGGTTTGAGGTTGAGGGGGGCGTGGTGGGCACGTAGGAAAGGATGCTTTGTATCTGTTTGAAAAAGAAAAAGATTTAAAAATACTGATAACCCATCTTACAACACTTGTGAAAACTATGCTGATGCCTCTGTGAAGAGACAGGTAAATAAATTGCATTCAAGAATGCAGAGCAAGGCTGGCTGGGGCTAAGGAACTATTTGCTTATTTCGTAAAGAAGCTTAACAGAATACTCGTGCTAAATGATCAGGTCTGTGTGCTCTGCTGTACCTGCCTGCGATAGCGTCATCAGGCGTGTGGTGCTGAGCGTGGCTTGCACCCACACTGGGATGGCTCTTCAGAGAGAGCCTCCAGATTTTACACTTTGCCAGTGAACTAGTATCACTTTTTTCTCTTAAAAAAAATGATCCTGTGTCTTAAATACAGCTCATATGATATTGCCTTCTAAATTAAAAATTCTTTTAGTGCTTAAATTGAACATGGAATCTTTTGTTAAAAAAATCATGTCAGTCATTGCAAATGGCTTATTTAGGAAGGAATTTCATAGTGATAACTAGCCCTTTTTATTATAAATGAAAATGGTAGAATGATACATTGGTATTTCTGTCTAATAAGAGTCTTCTGAGTGCTTCACGGGAATTCATTCCAAGCCTTTTTTAAGTTCTGTGAAATATTTTTAGAAGCATTTTATATGTCGCCGTAGTACTATGTTTAGGCGAAGGACTCTTTTGGAAAGTCAGGGAAGTGTGAAAGGAGCCCATTCGGACAGTTTTAATGCAAAAGCCCAGGGTTTATGCATTTCCACGCACTGGTTTGATGGCACTAATGCTCAGTGAGAGCGAGGCAGTGTCCAGAATGAGGTGAGAAAGGGGTTTGTGTCTCTTGAGTCGCAGGTTGTGTGCACACTAGAGGAGACTGAGATTGTGTCTCCGCTGGAGCTCCCCACCTGGGGACCCCTGTGGTATGGAAGGGCAAATGGCAGTCCCCACACATGCTCTTGGGTATACCTGGGAGGGGAGAGGCTGTAGAAGTTCTTCTGTCCTAAGCTGCATTTTATCGGGAGGATTTGAGCTCAAACTGGTTATCGCAAGAGGCCGGTGCTGGGATTCGAGACCAGGGCTCCTGGTCAGTGTGCCGGCTCATCCTGGCAGATGGAGCAGGTGCCCCAGGCTCTGCCCAGCAACACAGAGTGTTTCTAAGGCAAGGCAGTCATACAGGACTGCACTAACTAGATTTGAAGTTTTATCAAAACAGTGTTTTACCGGATTGCTGAAAGATATGCTTAGAAAACAGTCAGCCAAGTACATCATATTTTTAGTGTCTCATTGTGCACTGAAGAAGAAATCAGTTGTGCTCTCCAGAAGTTTCACATAGACCAGTTATTTCTCAAAATCATATTGTGGAAGCCCTACTGTTAATTTTGTTAATAATATCATCTTACATTTTTAAATAATATCAGCGAATGAGCAGTTCTGTCTCAGGCTTCTGTGCACCCATTCATGCTGTTCCCTCTGCCTAAATGTCCTTTGTGAGTTTCTGAGCCTGGCCAGCACCCTCCCAAAGGGGATTGTTCTCTGCACCCGCTAGCTCAGTACTTCCTACAGTGTCTTCGCACTTGATTGGTCATCTCAGCCTGCAGAACATATACCACATACATACCACATGCACACACCCCCGGACTGGAGGTCCTGTGCAAGCCCCCTGTCCTGCTTAACTTCACTACTCACGGTGGCAGGCACAGAGTAAATCCTCAGAGCGTATTTATGACACGTCATTGGATAATTTCTTTAAATTACTAGTTTAGCAGAGAAAGCTAGTGTTTTTTTATAAACACATATTTTAACACATATTCTATAAACGTATATAGAAACTAGAACAGCACATTGTAATCGTAATTATGGATGTAATATTTTTATCCATGCAGTTATTGGTAGGACCTGGGATTTTTCCCCGCATCTTTCCCAAAACACATACGGCCTGGAGCTCTTGAGCACCACCTAACTCACCTCAGGATCGAATGTTGGGCGCTTCTTGGATGCAGTCTTCGTAAAAACTATATTGTTTTGTTTTCCTTATGTGGCTTTTGTGCAAAAGCCCTCCAGCGTCTTGGTTTCTTCTTGTAGCTCCCATTTTTATGTCATGCCATCCCACAAACCAACTAAATCTTCAGTAATGTTTTAAAAGTTATGAAATGCTTCTTTTTTTTTTTTTTTACAGCCACTATTTGTTCATGTTGTAACTGTAGCTTGTGCTTCAAGAACTGAGAGGTACAGGGAAACCTGTCCTACCTCAGGAATAAAGCCATAGAGGATTTTAGAGAAATCCTTCTTAATTTTGAGCATGTTTGTGTATGTTTCTTATTCTAGCAATTTCCCAGTGAGCTGTCATACAGTTATAAGATAGCCTGGCTTTTGAAATCAAGAGTCATCTCAGAGGCACACAGCAATAACATTCAGGTCATTCTCCAGCTCGTTGCTGTGGGCTGTGAATTCCTAGAGTGTTATGTTTCAGGTTGTGTGGCAAAGACTGTTTGCCTCCACTGACAGTGCAGCCGCTGACTGTTTACTGTGTCTTCAGGAATATTTGGTTGCTCAGACTGTATTTTCAGAGTAAACCTTTTTAGAATGATTCCCCAGTTTTGTCCCTGTAAAGGAGCTAAAAACAGTAATTCAGCTTGACACTCCTTTGTTGTCTGTCAATACATTTTTATATACTGATAATTAAGGGAGACGGCTGCTTTATCCAAACAGCTTTGTGAAATTGCTGATAATAAAACATGCTTAGCACACGTGTGAATTGATGACTCGTAAACCCCGGGCTCCCTCGGGTGGCTTCCTCTCTGTTGCCTGGGTGCCATCGGGGCTCTGGTTGTCCAGCCGCGAGAGCACACAAGCGTTGCTTCGAAAGACATATGATCATCTCTGATGAATTATTGAAACTGTGTTTTCTGACACAGATTAGGAAAGGGAAAACACAGCCGTATTTTAAAAGTTGGCTGTGTAATTTTTTCATCCTGGGCTTTGGGGATCTGATTTGTGTCTGAATTATTCAGACATCTAACTTTGTAGTTGAGCTCATTTCACAAATGTGAAATGGCATGGGAATTTGGAGCAAACGCAGCAAAAGTGAACTGACTTAAGACCTAAGAAGTGTTTGTATGCGTTTGTGGCTGTTGAAACTGCTTCCTAGGTTTTAATTCTTACCACTACAGGCACTTTACAAATAGGCTTAATTTCCATTCTGATTGTTTTCAACAGGATGTATAGTGAGATGGATGTCATGTCCACAGCAACTCAGCATCAGACAGTGGTGGGAGATGCTGTTGCAGAGACTCAACATGTTCTGTCTAAAGAAGATTTTCTGAAATTGATGCTTCCTGACAGCCCCTTAGTGGAGGAGGGGCGAAGAAAGGTTAGTGACTTAGGGAGCTTTGAAGTTACCAGAAACACTAAAAAAAAAAAAAAAAAAAAAGTCTAAAGAAACTCAGAGGTTTCCAGAGTACTCCCACATGCTTCATCTCTCATGACCCTACCAACAACTCACTGCACATAGTTGACCGTTGCCAATTTTGATTGTATCAGTATGTGAAGGGAGCCTGGGAGAGGTTAAGAAGGCTGTTTTTAAAACCTCAGATAGAGCTGAAAGTCCGGCTGGCCTAGCCTCAAATCCTGGCTCCAGCAATGGGTAGCTGCATGACTTTATGCAAGTGACTTGGCCTCTTGACCTCAATGCTCTCATCTGAAAAAAGGAGATCATAATAACTGAATTGTGAAGTTACAGTGAAGATAAGAAGTGATGTCTGAAGAGCCTAGTACAGCTCCTGGACATAACTAGTGATCGTGAACAGTAGCTGTTAAAATTCACACCACCTGACTTTTGTTCCAGAGCTCTAGCCTCTGCTCCAAGCTGTCTCTCCTTAAATGTAATCCTGTTCCAGAACTGAACTGGAGTTAGACAGCACACTGCTGGGCATTTTAAACAGGGTTGGAACTTGCACACTGCCATTTAGAGATATGCAGAGATCATAGGGAAGGTCATGCTTAAATCTCATAAACCAACCCCAAGTTCAGTGGCATACCTTTGTCATTCACAATGTAGTACTCGATAATGTTAGCTTGCTTATTGGCTTCAGTTTCATTATTATTGCAATCTCTTAAGCCACTTTGCTAAACAATTTAAAGTACTGAAAAGGACTTAAAGGCGATTTAGCCCAATCACCCCATTTAGCAAGTAACTGAGGCCCCAGATGGTAAAATGTGAGCTCTTCATAAATATTTGGTGCCAGAGTCAGCAACTGAGTCCTTGTCTCTCACTTCTAATCCAGCACTCCCTCTTGTTCATATGAAAAGGAAAAAGGAAATCAGGTATTGCCATACTGACCATGATCAGGGTAAACTGCAGGTCTTTGTGCTTCTGTCTTCCCTATAGTAAAACAATTCTGCAATTAACCTAATTGTGTTTTTAGAACAACACTCTAATTAGACACTACTGCAAAGCTGCTTTAATCTGATATGCCTGTAATCAAGTTCTGAAGAACCTGCTGGTGGTGTGTGAGGAGGGAATCCCATAAGAACTCCATCATAATGAGTCTTTTTTAAAAAACTTACATCAAGTCATGTACATGATACTGTATAAGCTTGGGTGCAAAGGCAGACTGTTGTACAAAGAGTGTAAATAGCTTTTCTTTTTGGAGGGTTGAACTTCTTGACATGTGTTTTTTCTTCTAAGACAAATCACCTTCTTTTCATGATGTAAATTTAACTTTGTAACTCACACACATTCCAGTTACCTTTCATCAGTTGGAAAGACTTGACAGAATGGAAGGAACACACACAATAGGAATATTTTTAGACTTACTGCTACATTCATAAATGTAAATAGCCATTTCTTTGTTTGATGATGTGAACATTCTGGCTTTTACTATTGTTTACCTAAAAGGATTGTGGTTCAGTATGCAAAGGAAGTAGTTGAAAATTCAGATTTGATTTAACTTTTCTTGAGTATTTGACCACTCATTTCTTAGTAAGAATTTTCCTTACCCTATCTGTAATTAAACACAACAATAATTTTAATGGTTCATTTAAGTCTGGTTATGATCCATTATTGTAACTCAATTTTCAACAATTATACAGACTTTGGCAAGTGATACTTTTTTTTTTTCCAAGACGGAGTCTTGCTCTGTTGCCCAGGCTGGAGTACAGTGGCACGATCTCGGCTCACTGCAAGCTCCGCCTCCCAGGTTCATGCCATTCTCCTGCCTCAGCCTCCCTAGTGGCTGGGACTACAGGCGTGCATCACCATGCCCAGCTAATTTTTTGTATTTTTAGTGGAGACAGGGTTTTACCATGTTAGCCAGAATGGTCTTGATCTCCTGACCTCGTGATCCACCAGCCTCTGCCTCCCAGAGTGCTGGGATTCCAGGCATGAGCCACTGTGCCCGGCCACAAGTGACACTTTTAAGTGGACAGTAAGACTTTATTGGACTGCTGCTGATTTTTGGAAATGTGTTTATGTGGCCGGCAAAGCTTCAATGTTCACAATTAGTCTTATTATTATTTAGATTAGATTGAACCTCACATGTAGTTGATTGGTAGAGAAATTGCCTAATATTACAATGTAGTCATTTCAAATTAAAATCAAACCAGTATTATGTGGAGCTTTGAATAACTATTGCCTGAAATGGCAACCTTATATAACTCCAGGAACTATCACTGCTATAAGGTTATGGAGGTTTTATTTAACATTTCAGAGTTAATAAAGCTGTGCATGTCTAATTCATGATAATATTTCATAGAATGTCAAAGGAGGAAAACATAAAATCTAATAACTGCACCCAAGCCCTGGTGTATTTGCCTTGATCCCCTGCATGCTGCGTTTGGCATTCTTGAGCTAACAGAGAAAACTCAAAGAAGCTATCACAATAGTATGTGAAACCACTGGACTTAGTCCAACAAGCCCCGTGCATTCGTTTTTTTAATGTCTGTTCCCTCCTCGCACCTTGTTTAAACCCTAGTTTTCGTTCTATGGGAACCTGTCTCCAAGGAGGTCGCTTTACCGCACGCTGTCTGACGAGAGCATCTGCAGCAACAGGAGGGGGTCCTCCTTTGGCAGTTCCCGGAGTTCCGTGCTTGACCAGGCCCTGCCCAACGACATTCTGTTCAGCACCACCCCACCCTACCACAGCACGCTGCCTCCGCGGGCCCACCCCGCACCCAGCATGGGGAGCCTGAGAAGTAAGTGAGGGGCTGGCTGCTCCCTGGCCAGCGCCGAGGGTGGGCTGATCGCACAACTCCTGCCTCATTGAGCTCTGAGGGTGGAGTGATTTAGGAGTTTGTTTTTGTTTTTATTAAATATATATTATTTGGTGTTTTAAATAATTTTCAAATATAGAAGCCCCAGAGTGGACATTTTGAAAAAGTTAGGTAACACTACCTATTTTGAAAGCAATTGAGAAACTCATGTTAGATATTTCTGTCAAGTCCAATAGTGACTTCTGCATCATATCTCAGCTATCATATCTATAAAGGAAAAAAATGTCTTTAGCCTGATTTAAAAAAAAAAAGAAAAGACTGATGTAAGGAGTGGGTTTTCCAGTGGGTGACAGCAAGGAGGGACATCTGGTTTTCTAGCCTTCAGTTTCTTCGTGCAGTTCAGTACCTGGAGATGGGGAGGTGGCACGTGTGCCTCGGGAGACCTGGCTTGTAGACTGGGCTTTACCCGTGGGCGGCTTTGTGTTCCTGTGCAGATGACGTGTGTTCTCTTGTGTCCCCGCTTATTTCAACTTACTAGTCACAGGTCAACCTGACGATTTCTAGATGATTTTCCTTCAAATCCTAAAAATCTTTGATTTTTATGTAGTGTCAAGTCTTCATTAATGTCAGTTTTTAAGGGCACTTTTTTTTATGTTAGCCTTATTTCCTTTATACATAGTTATTTTTGTACAGAAAAAATGGGAATTTAATCAGAAATCTATTCATTGCCAAGTTTTTTTTCATTTCATCACAGAAAATATCTTTAGAACCAATTCGAACTTCATAATACACTTAGAAGTCCCAGGCTAAATGAAATCAAAGTTCTAATAATATTTCCAATGTTTAACATAATTGGAAATGAACCTTATCTCATAAAATTCTTAATCTACTTCTTTAAGTAACATAATAACCTGCCTGTTATAAAGAGTCCATTTACCTAAATTGAAGAAACCTTTAAACGCCTTCTTGACAACCATGTGAAAGGTCAGCCAGACCTAGGCCACTTTCCTAATATTTCTCCAGCTGTTTTCTCTTTTTTGTAAAAGGTAACTTCAATGTCCTCTTAAAAGCTTTTGTAAAACCAATGAACCTCTATTTTCCTGCAAGTGTTATTTCATTTACAGTGTTTGAAGTGTGCTTGTGAACTCTCTGTGGTACGTGTGTTATGTTGGTCTTACATTCTACCCTTCATTTTGTTTCCAGGTGAAAGATGTATGTCCTTTTTTTTTTTTTTTTTTTTTTTTTTTTGTTAGCTTCACTTAAAAAAAAATAGACTTCTTAGAGCAGTTTTAGGTTCACACCAAAAAATACAGGGGTTTTCCATATACCTCCTCAACACATTTTCCCCACTGTCAACAAACCCCTGCCCTCAAAGAGTGGCAGTGGTACATGTGTTATAATCGATGAACCTATGTGGACAGATCCTTATCACCCAAAGGCCCTGGTTTACATTAGGGTTCGTTCCTGGTGGTGTACATTCTGTGTGTTTCTAAAATGTGTAAGATGACATGTATCCGCCATTACAGTATCATTCAGAGTAGTTACACTGCCCTAAAAATCCTCTGTGCTCTGCGTGTTCATCCCTCCCTCCCCTCTAGCTCCTGGCAACCACTAATCTTTTTACTATTTCCATTGTTTTGCCTTTTCTAGAATGTCGTATAGTTGGAATCATGCAGTATGCAGCCTTTTCAGACTGGCCTCTTCTACTTAGTAATAAGCATTCAACTTCCTCCATGTCTTTTCATGGTTTGATAGCTCATTTCTTTTTACAGCTGAATAATATTGCGTCATCTAGATGTACCGTAGTTTGTTTAGTCATATACTGGAGAACTGTATCCTTTTTTAATGTGTTCAAAGGCACAATTAGGAAACAGTCAAGTTATACTGTTCATTCACTGTCCTAGCTGAAAACTGCCTCACTTGTCTTCATTTTTACTTCTCTAGAAAAAGCACTAAGAGTTTTCCTTGCCATTTGCTCTCTTTAAAGAAACCTTCTTATTTGGTGATAC
Organism: Homo sapiens; assembly: GCF_000001405.40. Taxonomy (NCBI): domain Eukaryota; kingdom Metazoa; phylum Chordata; class Mammalia; order Primates; family Hominidae; genus Homo; species Homo sapiens. The sequence continues at coordinate 232,423,561 of NC_000001.11, read as the reverse complement.
ATCTCCTCCAATAGCTACACTTAAGAAACTACTCGGAAAAAGTTCTCTAGGCTTGATGGATGAACTAACAAAATATAAATCAGAAAACTGGAGGTAATTTGTATTGAAGTGTATTCCCCTAAAGACTTCTGATTTCCAACCTCCTGTCCATGGAAAGTTTAAGCTTCCAGAATCTAATTGTTTGGAGGCCTCTAGTTCCCTGGCCTTCTGACTACCACAATCGCCTATGTGATTATAGATGCTCCTTGACTTACGATGGGGCCATGTCCAGATAAACCCACCATAAGTTGAAAATATTGTAAGTTGACCACGTATATGGCGACCTAACCTACTGAACATCATAGCATTTCCTAGCCTACCTTAAACGTACTCAGCACACTTGCATTAGCCTCTAATTGGGCAAAATCATCTTGCAACACAATACACTATACAATATCAGTTATTTACCCATGGAATCTCGTGCGTGGCTGACTGGGAGCTGTGACTCACTGCCAGTTCAGCATTGCGACAGAGTGTCATACCGCCTATCACTAGCCAGGGAAAAGTTCAAAATTCAAAATTTGAATTATGATTTCTACCGAGTATGTATCACTTTTGCACCATTAAGATCTACTCAAGACAGGTTTTAATAATCCTCTTCTTTCTATGGTTTCTGGCCATTCTGTAGACCCTCTCTAAGAAGATACCACTCTTTAAGAATAGTTTGACAGTCAAAAACTAGAGCAGCCCAAAAAGCTGAAATGTGAGTGTTAATGCCCAGAAGATGTCTTTGAGCGAGAAATGAGGAATATTTGAAGTTGCCCAGTAGTTTCTCTTAGTTTCTCAGAGAGATATAGCTTCACTTCAAAACTTGGAGCAGAGGTTGGTTCCAGATGGTTTTGAATTGCTGTGTAGATAGAGTTGGGCAGAAAACTCAGAAAGCACAGATACTCTTCTTTTAAACTTTAAAACATAGAGCATTCATAGGGAAAAGAGAATCTTTCACCAGGAGAGACTCAATCAGATTTTGTTTATAATTTGGAGGGAGGGTAGCAGGGCAAAGCACCAGTAACTGCCCATCTCTTCCCAGTGAATATTGGAAGACCTAATCTCTGCACCTTTTCTACATGTAATTATCATAGTCACAGGCTTCTCTTTCAGGTATTTTTAGCTTTTAAAAGTTACAGATTTGAATCTGTCTCAATCTTTCTTCTCTTGAGACTAAGATCTTAATCTTCATACTTAACAAGCTCATTTTGGATGTAATTCATGTCATGATTCATGTATATTTCCTGTGAAGTCACTGCAATGTGCTGTATCTTTATGTCTTCAACTTGGAGGTATGCAAATATCACCTGATCCAGCAGTTGAGAATATTTCTGAAACATTTCTGCCTTGCCTTTAGGACCTTTGTTTTTGTCATTGGTAGATTGCAGAAGAAAATTTATTTAAGGGCCCAGGTGAGAAAAAAAAATGACAGTGGGCTTTTGAACACACAGTTCACAGGCCACATAACCAGTGACACTGAAAAGCAGTCATATTTTCCTTTTATTCCTTGGCAGGTAGACACCTGGGTTCATTCAGCACAATCCCAAGCATTGGCAGGCTCACAGGCTTAAAGATAATTTTTTGGTTTTTTATGGAACGGAGATCAAAACTCTGAAATCTTCCTATCAGAATGGACTGATGAGAATTCTTAGATTTCAAAAATGAAAATAGAGAATATTATGTGTGGTTTCAAATCCTATAGTTCTGACCTACGCACATCACAAAGAATGCCCCTTGAAGTTAAAAAGTGGGAGAGTGGGAGAGTTTAGAATAAATAAAATAAACTGGTATTTTAGTTATAATGTAATACTTGCACATGTTGCTTCAGACCACATGTGTAGCCTCGGTGGTTTTGTGTTGTAGATGATAAGGACTACCAACCACCAGAGGAAGAATCTTTGCCAAGGGTGGCATGGCAAGGTATCCATCCATCTGCAAACAGGGTTTTGACTATTCAGTATTTGACTAGGCAGTGTTATTCAGTGTAATACTTCTTTCTCTTTTTTCAAATGTCCTCAGTCTTCCCTGTAATAAACATCGGTTTCTGAAAAGTGTAATTGTGAAACCTCAGATATCTGACCACCAGGAAATGCTGTTGAGAGGCTCCTTGGCATTTATAATAATAGCAATAAACTCAGACTCAGTAAAGATGGTTACTGTGATTTCAGGTTTTGGGTAAACAGACGGGAAGCCACAAGATCAATGTCGCTTGAGCAGGTGCGCAAGCCAGAGCAGGTGCGCAGGCAGTGGTTCCCTGATACTACCCCCCTTTCAGAATTCATGAGTCTCTCGAAAGGCTGACTTAGGTCCGTATGCAACATGGGCAGTAAGAATTGTGAGCACGGAGAAGTGTCTTCTCCAGAAGTGAGGTAGGATGGCATCTACCCAACTGTGCCCAAAAAATGCTTTCAGACAGTGTCCTCCCCTCTCTCCTGTTTTTTAACTCATCCTGAGAACTCCCAAGAAATATTATGGGTATGAAGTAAATTCAGTTACTATTGTTTTCTACTCACTAAATGTCTCATCTTGTTTGACATTAGTATGTGATACCATATGCAAAATTGGTTCGGGTTTCCATTTGGAAAAACTCTGTGAGAAACTTGTTATGCCAGGAGGTCACCGTGCTTCGTGTGGGGAGCCTGCAAATGTGCCCCACACTTGTGCCACCCACTTGCCTAGGCTGGCACTTTCTTTTTTTTTGAGACGGAGTCTCACTCTTTCGCTCAGGCCGGAGTGCAGTGGCACAATCTCGGCTCACTGCAAGCTCTGCCTCCCAGGTTCACGCCATTCTCCTGCCTCAGCCCCCCGAGTAGCTGGGACTACAGGCATCCACCACCGCACCTGGCTAATTTTTTGTATTTTTAGTAGAGACGGGGTTTCACCGTGTTAGCCAGGATGGTCTCCATCTCCTGATCTCGTGATCCGCCCGCCTCGGCCTCCCAAAGTGCTGGGATTACAGGCATGAGCCACCACGCCCAGCCACAGTCTTGTCTTAATTGGCCAGAAGAGTTGTACGGGCTCCTGAGGCTTGGGAGAGCTGGATTTAAAATAACAGGCTTTGATACCTGAGGCAAATGATGCCTTTCGTATAAAACCGTACAACTGAGGAGACAAGACAGTTCCAGCCACTGTGGCATCACAAAGCACAGGTGATCAATTGCTCTTGCTCCTTCAGGTCTGCACTATGTGTATCTTTTTTTGTTGTTGTTTGGAGACGGAGTTTCGCTCTTGTTGCTCAAGCTGGAGTGCAGTGGCGTGATCTTGGCTCGCTGCAGCCACCACCTCCCGGGTTCAAGCAATTCTCCTGCCTCAGCCTCCCGAGTAACTGGGATTACAGGAATGTACCACCACACCCAGCTAATTTTTTGTATTTTTAGTAGAAATGGGGTTTCACCATGTTAGCCAGGTTGGTCTCGAACTCCTGACCTCAGGTGATCTGCCTGCCTTGGCCTCCCAAAGTGCTGGGATTACAGGTGTGAGCCACCGCGCTCAGCCAGCACTGTGCATATCCTACTCCAAACCCCTCTCAGACCAACACCAACAGTATTCATCTGTTTGTTGACAGGGCTCTTTGAAGGATAGAACTTGTGTCTTACTAGTTATTCTCTCCCTAGGTTCTGATGTAGTACCCAGTAGTTCCTGGAATATAGAAGATGCTCGGTAAACATCATCTGGGTGATGGGGGTAGTGATAAAAGTATTGCATATAATTTTGGCTAGTTTAGAATCTGTGTTAGGCTGTTCTTGCATTGCTATAAAGAAATATCTGGGGCTGGGTAATTTATAAGAAAAGAGATTTAATTGGCTTTTGGTTCTTCAGGCTGTTCAGGAAGCATAGTGCTGGCATCAGCTTCTGGTGAGGGCCTCAGGAAGCTTACAGTCATGGTGGAAGGTAGAGGGGGGAGCAGGAGTGTCACATAGCAAGAGAAGGAGCAAGACAGAGTCCATGGCGAGATGCCACACTCAACCAGATCTCACGAGAACTCACTCTCACGAGAACTCACTCATTATCATGAGAATAGCATCAAGCCATGAGGGATCCACCCATGACTCAAACACCTTCCACGAGGCCCTACCTTCAACACTGGGAATTACATTTCAACATGAGATTTAGAGGGGACAACATCCGGACCATGTCAGAGACTCAAAAAAACAAAAACAAAAACAGAATAGTAATTTTCCCAGTTACATGATATTCTAATCAATGGAAAAGAAAATGTATGTGTTTTTCATGTTGATTATTCATGGAGATCTATAGGTGGCTCTTTGTCTAACAAGACTGCCATTGGAAGTCTTCCTGCTTATGGAAAAATGATGGATTTTAGATTTAAATCCCCATATTTTCATAGCTTTTATTCCTAAACTATGCTCTTCATTAAGAAGCTTCTCATCATTTGTGTCTCAGCCAAGTGTCCCCTCCTTGGACAGGCCTCCCCCAAATGTGCCACCAAGCTTCACAGTCACATCACCCTGTTTTGCTTTCTGCAGAAGACTTAATCACTCCTTGTATTTTCTTGTTTATTCATTTATTGTCTTTTCTTTGATGTAAAGCTTCATGAGAGCAGGGCCTTGTCTGCCCTACCCACTGTTGTGCCCCCATCACGTGGCAGGCAGTAGTCACTTATCAAATACATTGTGGTAGACTGCTGAGTGGACAGTGCTTCAGGTAAACTCATGAGAAAAGGAGACATCTCATCTGTGCTAACCTTCTTTGCCAGTTCTGCAGTATCAAATAGAAGTCCCATTCACCACTGGAGGAGGGGGGACAATATTTTGTAATAAAGAAAAAATGTCACCAACAAATGTCCTTTGCTTCTGCTCCCTGCTTGGCCAGCCATACAAATTAAAAGTGGTGAGGGGTTGTCTGGGCTTGCCTTTGGTTGTGAAATATACACCCCGAAACCATCTCAGATCCGAGAGCCATTAGTGCCACATTGTGTGGGGTCTCTGCATGCATTGCGTAGGGGGTAGCAGGCAGAGACCTTCAGAGCTGGTTGGCTGGCCTGCTCCGTGGGCAGCCGGGCCCACTCACGCACTGTGGGCCACAAAGATTCATGTTTGTGCCTTGGCAAAATTATGAATGGCCACGTATCAGGAACTTTAGAGGTGCTTAGGAATTGTCAGAGCTTATTTCACTCAAGACTGTCAGGAAACCACTCTATTGAGTACTGGGGAAAGATGCACACAGCTGCAGGAGGGACCAGGGGAAGGGGAAGCAAGGGACATTAATCTCACATCCCAGCTTGTGAATCAGGGCACTGGCCGCCATCCCCTCTGTTCTCATTGCATTTTACCCCTCTTGTCTACTGTGTTATTTTTCTCTTTTCCTGTCTCCTGTTATCGCCAAGTAAGGATCTTGTTGTATAGTGGTCTTAGGGGGAAAAGTAGCACATAGAATGTGTGTTAGGCTTGATTTTAGCCTTCAAGAATGCCAGAAGCTGGAATGAAGGATTGTTTCTTTATAAACACAAGGAAAATTCACGAGTTGGCATTTCTTAGTAAAACATGATGAACAGAATGTACTTTCTGTAGAAATGGCCGTGTATCTGAATAGAATTCCATTCCGCTCCCTGATGCTTCCCCTCCAGTGAGGGAAGGAGGGAGGACAGTGCTGCAGTGGGCCCAGATTCCAGCCTGCCTGACCTCCGCGGCCCTCACAGAGCTATGCCGCTCTTGCACCGTTTCCCGAAGAGCCCAGCCATGTGGAAATCAGTGACAAAAGTAATTGCTGCCTCCATATTTAATTTCTTTACACTCGGTGCAGAAAACTTGCCTTGAGCAAAGCAGCATATGAGTTGCAGAGAGAGAAGGAAGTGTTTTTTAAGTGAAGGAAGATTCCTGGGTTTCTTTACCTTTCTGCTTGAGGGTCTTTCTTTACCTTTCTGGAACCCTTTCTTCCTAAGCAACTGAGACAGGACCCGACAGCCAGTTCAGCCCAGTCTTTGCCCAGTAGGGAGCAAGGATGCTCCTGGGAAACAGTGAGTGCTGCGTGCCCTCCTTCCCACCTCCCACTCCTGCGTTGCTGCTTCCCTCCTCTGCTGGTTAACCTCTTGGCAAGGACAAGCACATCACACACAGAACAAGTAGAATAAGGAAGAACCAGTGTTGTTTCAAAGAAGAGCATGTGGAGAAGGGAGGGTGGAAACAATGTGGACAATATATCCATTACTGGGTTCCCTTCAAAATAGAGGCAGGGAATAATTAGGTGGAATATTACCCCAACTTCTAAAGGTGGTAGGTAGCATGGAAAATTGGCGTAGCTGTAACTGTTAGAGATCTGGTAAGAGCTGCATTTGTCCAGAGTCTCAAAAAAGTCTGTCGGTCTCCTTCAAGGCCAAATTTACTAGCTGTCTTAGTCCAGATGCCAGCATTTCACAGCTACCCAAAAGGATGTGGGAATAAAAATTACAGGTGCATTTGGTTAATTATGCCCCCTTACTTAACATAATTGCAGGCTCAAACAGCCAGGTGGTCATTATTTTGATTGGTCTAATTAGTCAGATGTGTTCACAAGCAGCTGCATGCAGTGTTCTGGGCAGGTTCAGAAAAGGCACATTAAAGTCCAGTTGAAGCCTTTTTAGAACTTGTCCTCAGATGCGTAATAAGTTCTTAACAACGAGTATTATTAATGACATAAACACTTAAGTACCTTGATGAGAGTTTAAGGAGAAAAAGAAATGGAAAAGGTCCATTCATAGCCAAAGGAAAACCACCCAACATTGAATACAGGGTGGGTGAGTGGTTTCTGCTTTAGCCATTGATAAAACTACCTTACTAAGTCAGAAAGGTAATCCAACCACTATGTGTGTGCTTTGTATATCAAATAGCATCCTCAATCTCATGTATTGATAAAAGCAAAGTTGGTCTTACTACATTTTTATAATCAATTGGTATTTGAGGCATCTCAAGTTTGTGGTGCTCAGCTTAGAAGTGTTCCTCAGTAAGCTTTATGAATCAGGATGGAGATTGTTCCAATACTTCTTACAGCAACGTAAACCCTGCAACACTTTTAAAAAGAGGAAGGTCTCCCCTGAAGAAAATGAGGATTTGTCTTGCAATAGTCAGACCTGGATGTACTCAAAAGAAGCCCCCTGGAAGAAAACCGCGAAATTACAATAGTGTACAGAGGCTTGATTCTAATCTTCCTGCCATCCCTGCCCTTACATGCTGGCCAACCTCTCACTAGTGCAGACTCGCCTGCTTTTTACAAACCTCCATTTTTCCAGCTAGATCCCTTTTGGGCAACTGCAGCCTCATGTTTTCTTTTTCCATTAAGAGCAGGAAAAATTATCTTGGCCACTTTGGGAGGGGATGGTGGTTCCTGTGCTGACTGACTCACTGGGAGGGGATAGCATTGCCTGTGCTGTGCTCCGACTGACTGACTCCTGACTGACTCTGGGAGGGACAGTGGTGCCCGTGTTCTGACTGACTCTGGGAGGGACAGTGGTGCCCGTGTTCTGACTGACTGACTCTGGGAGGGACAGTGGTGCCCGTGTTCTGACTGACTGACTCTGGGAGGGACAGTGGTGCCCGTGTTCTGACTGACTCTGGGAGGGACAGTGGTGCCCGTGTTCTGACTGACTGACTCTGGGAGGGGCAGTGGTGCCCGTGTTCTGACTGACTGACTCTGGGAGGGACAGTGGTGCCCGTGTTCTGACTGACTCTGGGAGGGACAGTGGTGCCCGTGTTCTGACTGACTCTGGGAGGGACAGTGGTGCCCGTGTTCTGACTGACTGACTCTGGGAGGGACAGTGGTGCCCGTGTTCTGACTGACTCTGGGAGGGGGCAGTGGTGCCCGTGTTCTGACTGACTGACTCTGGGAGGGGCAGTGGTGCCCATGTTCTGACTCACTCTGGGCTGGTGCCCGTGCTGTGACTGATGACTGACTCTCTGGTTTTGTTTCTGTTTAGATGAGTTCTGGTTCTCCGATGGGTCCTTATCAGATAAGTCCAAGTGCGCAGATCCTGGCCTGATGCCCCTCCCGGACACAGCCACAGGGTTAGATTGGACCCACCTCGTGGATGCTGCACGGGCATTTGAAGGTAAAGACTCACCAGCCTCTGGCCTCACCCCTTACCCTGGGAGTGCTTTCCTGCAGGGCCTGTGCGGCATCTTAGGGGAGCCCGTCTGTCTCCCATCGTCTGGTCAAAGTTTTGAATGTTTTGCCTTGTTGGATGATGAAAACAAGCAGGGGCTGGCTTGGGCTGTGAGGACATTTCCTGAGGGAGATCATGTCATTTAGTAAAAGGAGCACTAGGCAAGAAATCTGAAAACCCGAATTCTAGCTCTGGCACCATTTGTGACCTGGGTGGGACCTCTGTTTCCTATCTGAAAAGTAGAGGTGATTGTATGGAGAGCACCTTGCGTCTTTCCTCATAGCATACTGAGGTATAATGTGGGGGACACATTTAGGAGGCGGGAGCTGCTGGGCTTCGCCGGACAAGCACAGGCCGAGAAGTCTGTTCACCTGGCGTAAACACAGACTCCAGCGTGATTGGCTTGACCCATGCAAGTGTCTTTGGCTGTTGAGGCCTCGGCTTCTTCCTCTTAAAATGTGGGTCAGTGAGGGTAGGTGGGCTAGCCAATCTCTAAGAGCCATCCAGCTGCCACACTGTCTTCTGTCATTTTTGGTTGAGGCTACCCCTTCAGGAACACCTTTGTCCAGCTCGCAGATAAAGGTAGACAAAACAAGGAAGATGCTTGCTTCACGTGCAGCCTCAGGACCTCACGGTGATACTGTGTAAACCTGGGGCCCTCGGGATCGTGACTTATGACGTTTTGCCCTTTGCCGCTGCATTCTTCAGTGAGTTTTTACGATGGCAGGCTCTGGCACTGGGGAACCTGGCAGCTAGGACTGACAAAGGAGGCAGGATCATTTTAGTAGGGGCTGTTTAATGCCCTGCGCTCTGTGAGACTCTCATGGTGTAACTGAGTCACAGCATCCTGGAGGCGCCCGAGTCCACTGCTGCCTTCTCAGGCCTCAGGGCCCTTCCTTCTCTTTCTCACTCCCCATTTCTTTTCCCTTCTCAGTCTCTGCTAGCACAGCCCCATCACCTGTGACACCAGGCCTCAGGAAACAAAATCAAATTCTTTTCCCAGGAGGGGAGGTGCATTTGAAGTCAAAATGCGGAAGGTTGAGGGTTCACTGCCCCTCATCTGTGACTAGCGTAATGCGTTAGGGAGGCCCGATGGTGGCTTCGCTCTACCCAGCTGGTATCAGTGCCTCTGGTCCTGAGCCTCTGGGAACAGGAGTTGGAATCCACTCTCAAGTGGACACAGGGGAAGTAGGTGAAAGGCAGCTTGCTAGGAGGAAGCTTCTGCAACATGAATGTGCGCTCACTGCTCCCTAAATGGAAGGAACGAGACTGCTTTCTTTACAAACCACTCAGTCCTTGTAGAAATTTCAGAAGAGCCCTGTCTGCCTGTCTGCCTTGTGGGGAGACCCTCATTCTCTGATGCTACCAGAAGTTAGTTGCATATTTTAGAAGCCCCAGGCTGGTGGTCTAGTTGTTTCCTGGGCTCCCCATGCTTCTAGCACTTTCTTGGGCATGACCCAGCACCAGAGCACAGGGACGCTGTCTTTACCTCTGTCCAGAGCAACCCAGAGGGGAGGTAACACCATTTTCTCTTTCCCTGGGGTGTTCTTTACACACTACAGTCTCTCACTCTGACCAGATCTTTCTGCCCCAGGAGAGATTAGACCAGAGATAAGATCTCTGTGTGGCCTCACTGTGTAACTATCTGCAGAGTACTGAACGCACTGAATTCTGCTTCATTCTCATGCCTGTCTCTTAAGAGATGAGTTTCTTAAGAGAAGGCTGCCTCTTTTATTATTTTATCTGTATTTGTCAAAAATACATATCAAGATAACCAAAGGAGAAGCGCTAGTAACAAGGAGTAAGTAGGTATTCAATACACACAGTTTTACACAGCCCAGAACTATCCCAGCTCATAGCACAGCTCTCAACCTCTTATATCCTTTTGCATTTTGTGATCACCTTTCAGATTTCAAACAATATTTATCACCTTATCTCTGTATCTACCCTTGTTTATGTCTTTACTTGGTTCCCTTCCACCCCTTTCAAATGTTCCTTCAGAACAGAATGACTGCTAGAAAATGCATTTTTTTTTCCAGGGGATTAGAGAAGGCAAAATGGTGCATGGACTGAATGATCAATTTAGGGATTTCGGTCATAACTTCAGCCATTTCTGGGCCATAGGCCTTTGGACAAGTCACTTAACTACTATGACATCCACACTTTGTCCCAATACTCTTCTAGGTCTTTTACAAATATGAACTTGGTGAATGTTAAATAGTAATCCTTTTGGACATGTGCTGAATTAATTTGGGCTTCAGTCTTCTCATCTGTAAAATGAAGAACCAAAGAACCTGTAAGGAAAGCTTCATCTAGTCCTAAACCTCTAGTTCTGTGGTTTCATTATCAACAAGTATTTCTAAGCTGAAGTAAGAGTATGGGTGGTAGTTGGCACAGAAGGGAAAAAGTATGACATGGAAATTCTCCCTAGCCAGTGCCCTCAGGTACATGAATGCCTAAATTAAACAGAAAATAATGTAATATTCTATTTGCCAAAGGAGAAGACTTTGGTTATCTGAGCTTTAACATTGATAAAATAATGTGGAAGGAGTTACCACTGACCCCTAACATTGATAGATAAAATAATGTGGGAGGAGTTAGCATTGACCTCTAACATTGATAGATAAAATAATGTGGAAGGAGTTAATGACGTGTTTAATTTTTGATGCTGCTCCATAGGGTGGCATGTCATGGTGAGACAGTAGCCAGCTTATGAAAATTTGGTTGAGTATGTGTACCTCCTTTGGCTAATCAGGTTCCCTTGTATCAGTGTTGCCTCAGGTTGTATCCCAGTGACCTGCTCCCCTGTCTCGTGAGTTGCATGGTGGTGATGAGCGTGATCAATCTCCTTAGCACTTTTAAAGAGAAATGTCTTCAGGTAGATAACCCAGTTGCCCTGCTCATAACTTTATCTTTTTGTACCAGTTCTCAAGGCCATTTCTGAGCTAGAGTAAACATTATAAAGAAAAGATAACCCAAAACATGTCCATGTACTTGTTTATGTTATTGCTGCAAACTAACAAAGGCAGTTCAAAAGGCTTATTGCCTCAGACTTCCTTGGAATAATCCTGTGCCCCTATTTCAGTTAGTATATCTGAAAATAGGCTTGGAAAATGGAATTTACCTGCCTATTGGATTGAGATCCCATGATCCCTATAAAATCCAATAGTGTAATTGATCCCTGGCAGACTTGCCTCTCCCCCATTAGTCTACCTCGTTTATGCTACACATTTTGGCATATGATATGTTCACCTTCATTTAAGGGCTAAAGTTGACATTGGATGCGAGTTTAAGAATTTAGATTTTACTATACCACTATACTATACCAATTTAGAGCAGAGGCACCAAATTAAGCTGTCAAATCATGACTACTTAAATGTTTAAACTCTATTCGTGCAAGGACCATAATAAATGGTATAGTTGTGGGTGAGAGTCAGGTATTCTGTGCATAAGGACTCAGTAAGCTCCCTCCAAAAAGGAGGCGTGTTTCCAGACCACATTGCTGACCATAAGGCAGTGATAATAGAATTAAATAAGAAAAAGAGAAGCAAAACACAAAAATCTGACCACTTAGAAAGTTGTAAATGTTACTGTAATAATAATTATGCTGGGAAGAATTAATGAATATGACAAGAGCAATTTTTTTAGGATCATGAAAAAGATGCTTTGTAAATCTGGACTACACCCAGAGAGAGGGTAGCTTTTAAAGAAAAATATGTTTCAGAAGCATTTATTTCAATGGCAAAAAGGGAAAATTAACTAACTTAACTGTACTTAAAAAGATTCCACAAAAACTGTGAAAGAAAAACACACAAAGAAAAGGAATGAAGTAAGTTGTAAAAAAAAAAGCAACTGGCAATTGAAATTACACTGCAATTTATAAATAAAACTAACAACCTGAGTTTTTCTTTGAATATTGATAAACCAATAGCAAATTTGATCCAAAATATAAAAAAGTACAAATGAACCATGTTAGAAAGGAGGTTAAGTTAACATGAGAAGAAGACAGTGGGACCAAAATGACCTGTGCAGAACTGTGCCATCTCCCTGCAGAGGACAGTGGGTTCTGCCTTACCCCTCAAACCCCAGATACCTCTAGGATAGGAATGTTATTACCTCTCCCTGGCTTGGATTATGGAGACCTCGTGATCTTTTGGGGTCTTGCACTCCCCACCATAATGCAAACCAGGCCAGCCTGAACCATAAAATCTGGTCAAGACGAGACCCTGTCCTTACTAAAGAACTTGGTTTCCTGTAAATCTAAATATGTAAATGTACAGTATTAGCTGTAGAGGCAGAAGGAAACCTGTCAAAGGGCAATCTAGAGATGCAAGCTCAGAACACCCTCCTTAATTCACTGTAGCACATACACACTGCCTGCCCAGCTTGGCTGATCCCAGTTGTGGGGCTCTTTATTTACCCAGAAAATTTCTTTTCTGTCTTTAATGGTATAAGATGATGCACTTGATCACTTAATTTTCTGCAAACCTTGGCAGGCTACTTGGCTGGTTCCTTCTGCACAAAATACTGGTATACCACCCTAACCCCTAGCTTCTGGCCCCAAGTGGATCTCAGTCCTCTATATTTTCTAATTAATATGTTCTCTGGGTGACATTTTAAAAAAGAGACATAGAGATTTTTTTAATTACTAAGGAACGTCAAGTAGCTATATAGGAATACATTTGGTGGATAAGGTACTTAGATTATTTCTTGCAAGAAAACGTTGCAGGGAGCATAAGAAACGGTCAAAGGCCCAGGTGTGGAAGGCATTGAAAAAGTCACCCAGGAATATCCCCAAATACCAAATATATTACCTGAAAATAATAAGTTTACAGTTAATTGTTTTCAGAGTTTCAAAGAGTAATGATGCCCTTGCGTATATATATATATATATTTTGAAATTCAGAAGCAGCCTTCTTGCATGATAGGATTCTTTCCTGATAAACACGTACACACAGGAAAGATAATTATAAGACAATCTCAGTCTTTAATATTAGTATGAGAAAGCTTAGATGAAATTCAGTAGTAAATTGAAAAGATTATTCATTGTTATTGGCAAGAGTTTAGTTTAGTAAAAGAAAAACTTTAATTAAAAAGTTACAGTAGGTGAAGTAATTAAAAGCTATATCAATTTGTCCCAAAAAAGTATATCTAATAGAATTAGAACCTATTTCTTCAAAAATTAAGATTTGAGAGATACCCCCAAAGACTAATATCTACTTTATTTCAAATGGTTACATAGTACTTAATAGAAAATGTTTATAAGCAGATTGCTTATGTCCAGAAACTAAGCAAGTGTACTCTTTGAGACCGTGCCCTTTAATTTTTATACTGGAATCTTTGACATTTAAACAAGGAATGCAAAGAAAAAAAGGGATAAATGTTGGAGATAAAAGAAATTTAGATAGGGTTTTATACATAGAAAATACAAAAGATCAAAATGAAGTTTAATTAGAGATTATAAAATAGGTAAAGTAATTAGATATTTTGAAATATATTTTTATAAGTATAATTTCAAAGTGTTATTAATTTTTTCAGTTACCTATTGCTGTGTAACAAACCACCCCCAACATTTATGGCTAAAAACAACAATAGCTTATTATTTCTTATGATTCTCTGGGTTGACTAGGCTCAGCTGGGTGGTTCTTCTGCTCCATGTGATCTTAGCTGGGGTCACTCAGGCAGCTGCATGCAGCTGCAGCTCAGCTGGATCTGGAGCATTAAGGAGATTTCACTCACCTGTCTGTGTCTGGAATGGCTGAGGCCTAGTGGGACCCCTGCCTTCAGTAGAGTAGTTATATTTATTCACATGGGGGCTTAAGGAATTAGAAGAGCAAAAGCAGAAGTTCTGTGATGTCTTAAGGCCTGGTTTTGAATGTCCCAGAACATTATATTCACCACGTTCTATTTAGGCCAAAGTAGTTCACAAGGCCGGTATTCCAGGGGTGCAACATAGACTCTACCTCTACCTCTTGATGGCAGGTGCACACAGGGAGGAGTTGTTGGCAGCTGTCTTTGGAGACAGCTTTCCACTGTAATAGTCACAAGACACCTTAGATATATCAGTAAGATTGAATTAACATGTTCTTTGAGAAGTAAACCATCGGAAATATGAGAGAATTCCAAGGAACGCTTTAATATCTGAAAAGTCTTAATATGTAAGACTAGAAATGGATAGAAAGCTTCATAGTAAAGATGACGGTGCTTCCTGAATTAACTTGTAGAGTTAATGCAATTTCAAGAAAAATAGTTGAAAAACTAAATTTGCCTCCATTTGGAAAATAGGTAAATGATATTCAACCAAAAGATCTATTATAACTTAATAATAATTAAAACAGCATAATTCAAAAATAGGGATAAGAATTTTTGAAGAAAAATTAAGAGCTCAGACAGAAATCTGAATATAAGAGTTACATGGGTAAGGAATTTATGTATTCCATTTGGATTTAGGTATTTAAAAAGTCAACTTTAGAAAAAGTAAAAGTAAGATTGTGGTTTTGGAAGCAAGATTATGCTTTAATTATGGAGTAGTGAGAGAACATACAGAATGTAATATGGTCAGATAAAGGTATTTAAATATTTAGAATTATGGGAGCCTGAAAGAGAATATTAAAATAAAAGAGGAAATATTGGACTTTAGGAAAAGATTTCTAAAGAATGTGATAGGTAAAACCAGGATACCTAAAGTACGTAAAGGAACTTACCCAGCAAAAAAACACCAAACCCACAGTAAACAAATGGTCAAGGAATGTGAATATAAATTTCACAAAAGACAAATGCACAATAAATAAGAAGGTGAAAAATGTTCAACCACACATGTAAATTTAAAGAATAATGAGTTACCAGCTCACACTTTTTGAATATGAAAAATGATACAATAACTCTAGGAAGCTATGAAGAATACTCACAGCTGGTATCATTATAAAGATTATAAAGTGATCCATCTTTTTGTTCAGCAATATGATAATATGTTACTACTGCCAGAAAACTGTACCCACCTTTTAACCAGAAATCTAATTCCTGAGAATTTGCTGACAGAAAGTTATTAAAAAGAATTAAAAAGCTTCCAATAGAAAAATATTGTGCATTTAAAAAAATTAATAAGTGATCAAATAACATATCTCTACCCAAACAGTTTAAAAAAAAAAAAACAGTCCTTCATAGGTCTAAGAAGGCAAAAGTAAGTTGGATGCCCTGTGCCTCCCCCATGCTGTAAGGTCAAGTTTGAAAAGCTGGCGGAGTCACATTTTAGACTTTGTTTTAATGTATGCAGTTATTTTGTTTGTTGGAGGGCAAAACATGTCCTTCTTACATGTCAGAATTCCTAAGTGAAATTGGTGGTCTGTCTAGTTCAATAAGATCATAGTTTTGCCACCCTGCAGTGCTTATCATACCCTTTGTTACGTAGAATCATGTCAAGTTTGGGGGTACCTGATAATGTATATAATGGCTTTCGTCCCCCGTTAAACATGGTAATGGGAACAAACCCGACCAGAAAACCTGGCTATGGGTCAAACAGTGAAGCTGGGGAAGGGAAGTGGAGTCTCTTCAAAAGCTCTAGGATTTTGAGTAGCTCTCATTCATCAGAATATCAGAAAGAGGCAGTTGGTGTGTTTTTAGCATTTGTTGAATGGATAATGTTGTTTTCAGTGAACATAGGCTTCAAAGGTAAAATCACCAACTAGTGATCCTAGACTCTGGATTCCATGTTGCTGCCCCACGAAGGCCTGTCCTCCTAGGTTTCCAGACTTCCCCAGTTGGTGGTAGAGATCGCCATCTTCCCATAGCTGTTTGGGAGCATGGACGTGTGTGTGCTCCTGTGCAAATATCAATGTGAAAGACACATGCAGAGTTAACAATTCACATTCCAGGCACCACTGTGGCAATGAAATGCTCCACATAACCGTATTTTCCAAAAATTCAAAGTCTGTATCTTTAATTTGTTGTGTTCTTTAGGCCCTTGGTTTCTTAAACAGAGCATAATAAACATCCCTTTTTATGATGAGAACTTTTTCTGTTATGAAGCTTCAGCTTAAAGTTGATAAAGTTGTTACAGTTATTGATATTTGACCACTGTGTGTATGAGAGAGTGTGTGTATATAAGTATAAACAAAATGTGACTTACTGAGTAACTCCTAGTGGTAACATAATTAGTGGAAAAAAAAATGGAAAGAAAAATGACTACCACATGGGTGAAAAATGCAAAGTCAAATTTGGAATAGTAAATCCATTTAAATTATCTCAAAAGTAAATTGAAATGGTTTCAGGCCAATGCAATAGTTGTTTCTTAAATAAAGAATAATTTCAGGACTTTTTCTTGTTAATTACTCATAGGCAGATACTAGACCATTATCTTTTTACATGCATGGATGGGCTTCCAAAAGTCTAAACCAGAGAATTTTAGGTGGAAAACAGTACAGTGCAGCCTTTTTTCCTTTCCTAGTGGCCAGTTAAGTCAGTTTTCTGCAATGCAATAAGCACAGGTGTCAGAATCAAAACTTTTAATTTTCTACATGTAGCTACAAAACCCTACTTTGTCTTTAGTTTGCAGTTCTAACAAAGACATATTAGAACAGCTTTATTTGTGGAAATAGGTTTAATTTCAACTAGCCTCGTACTTGGATGTTCCATCTGGCATGTATCTGGGGCAGGCACTATCGTTCTATTCCTCACCCTCAACAGACATGACGCGTTGATCAGACCATTCACCCCCACCAGTCCAGCCTTGGCCTTATGTTGGACAGACATAACACGTTGATCAGACCATTCACCCCCACCAATCCAGCCTTGGCCTTATGTTCAACAGACATGACATGTTGATCAGACCATTCACCCCCACCAATCCAGCCTTGGCCTTATGTTCCTGGTGCTGCAGGCATCCTAGACGGGGTCATGGGAGTGACTTGCAGTCATCTGTTTTGCCATCTTGGCTCTAGGATATGGAATAGCCTGTTGACTATTCATCTTGTTTAGTGTTAAATGCACTAAAAATAAGAAACTGACATTGAAATAAGGTTTTTTAAAAGATTATTTTAAAGGATGGATTGTTTTGTGTGTCAGCCATGCCCAGCGTTCCACCTTAGCCAGATCTGCTCACACAGGAAAGAAAACCGAAGGGGCTCCACGTGTGGAGTGTGGGTGATTGGATCTGTACCAACCGTGACCACGTACATGAAGCTCCTATTCTTGTGCCTGTCTTTTCTGATGGTTTTGTTGGTGCCATTTGATTCTATCTCAGTAATTGCTTGATTATTGAATATTTATCATCAGAAATAAGCTGAAGGGGCATGAAGCTTCCACTGGAAACTGTCTCTAAGATTAGCTATTTTATAAAGTAGCTTGGTGTCTGTACTTAATCAAATAGCATCCTCTTTGCATTTCAGCCTCCCAAGCTTTTCAATTCCAAAGTGAAATCCTGTTTGTGAAATTACATTGCTGGCAAAACTCTAGTTTTGGCTTCTTGCCTCCTGACCAGTAGGACCCTGTTTCTCCCTAGGGGATGTCTGAATGACTGCCTGTAGGAAATTCTGTTTCTGTTAAATATGTGGGTATTTTATCAATTAAGGTAAAAACAGATGAAGGAAGCTAAGGCATGTTCATCCATGTATTTAGACTTGACCACCAGACCCAAATACATTGAGAAAGAAACATAACTGAATTATCACTGGCTTGCATAAAACAAGGATGAGTCAATGAAACTCCTAAAGAGTTAGACAAATTTTTATCCATTTTCTTTTCCATTCCTTTTCTGGTCAGTAAAGTCACTATGGAATAAAAATATATCTCCTAAAGATTTTTTAAAATGTGATGTGTTCCCATATTCTGGGCTCTTTACAGAACAGAGGGTTATGTTGGACACCACTGCAGCCCAGACCTCCCCACCCAGCCCCTAGAGCAGCTCAAGCCCAGCCAGGATTCTGCCCCCAGCTCTGCTGTGCAGGTCACATCATAGTAGAAGTTGGCAGGGCCCCAACTATGTTGTTGATCTTAATTAAATAGCAAATTACTTTATGCAAAAAGCCTACTATGCAGTACCAAATTGGTAACATGATGCTCAGGAATGTATAGTTATAGAATGTTTATCATCTTATGGAAGATTCGATGTGTGGAGCTTTACAGAATTAGTTGAAAGACATCTGCCTGCCTAGGGCAGGTGTGTTAGCAAATGGAGCCACATGGATGGAGAACTCTTAATGCAATCAGTAGCTGGGTGCACTCAGGAGGGCCCAGGCCTCTGTCAGGGCACTGACGGTGCTTTCAGCACCATGGCCACAGCCTACAGCCTTGGCTTTCCTTCATATGTTCCTGGCAGCTTCAATGTGACCATCCTTTTTAATTAACTGGAAGTGTATGACCTGCCATAAAGCAAACAAGCAGGTAGCCTCATTAGGAGGCTTGTCCAGCAGCCAGAGGGAGGCAGAGTGGGGTAAATTAAGAGTGGAGCACCCCTGACACGGATCCAAGTGCAGTCTCTCCAGAATTAACCAATTCATAGGAAAAGGACTGCCACAGCACTAACACGCCTGCTGTATACCTCAGATTCCTACTGTAGATACATAAGTGTGCTCAGAAACCAAGCAGAGAGACTCCAGGGAATGAGGGTGAATTGATCATGGAATAGATTGCGAGGTTCTCACTTCCATGTGGTTCAAAAACAGAATATTTTCCTGCATGCCATTCAGCATTTCTGGATTGCTGTTCTTGGTCAGTGCTCAGCCCCCAGAGCTGGGCCAGTCTGGCGCCCATTCTTAAGACTATTCTATTCCCTTTCCTTCCGACCTCTTAAAACATTGAATATTAAGTTCCTAGTGCCAAGAATAAAAATGTCCTTGTGCTAAGATAAGGCATTGTAGTCATACTGATCATTGGTGCTACTGCTATACATACTGAGCCCCTCAGATCTTCCTTTAAGGGTTTCTAGTGAGATTACTTAGCTAATCTCTCTTACCACCACTCTCTTTGGATTTGTGGAGTGAGTCATTTAAGTAAGCCCACAGTTGTGTATGCTCATGGTTGGATCCATGTGTGTATGGCATACCACATGTCTTTGTTGTACCCTACAGCCCCGCTTCCAACCAACAGTGAAAACATGAAATGTGTCATCTCATTGCATTGGAGTTACATGATACTGGCTCTCAAGGGTTTCCCCTGGTCCATCACACACACACACTACTTCACACAGCCGCATTTTGTGGGCCCCCGAGATTCTCAAGTATAGAGAGATACTCCTGTTCATAGGAAAATTCTAAATCTTATTTCAGGTCTTGACTCAGATGAAGAACTGGGGCTGCTCTGTCACCACACGTCCTATCTAGGTGATTGTCTGGGGCTGCTCGTTGGCTCCTGATATCCTGTAACCTTTTCTGTATATTTCATGTGTCTGCACGTCTGCATGGTTATTCACGCCCTGAGGGTTGGGGGTGCACAGCGGGACATGTGTCCTGGCTGTTCTGTCTCCAGAACCTTCTCCGGGTTTGGGGAGAACTTGAGAGAGAGGTCCCTCTCCTTTGTTCTGTCAGTCGAGTCATTATCCAACTATTATTTCATGCATAGCCAGCAGCTTTGGCATTTCTTGGGATGTGGAAAGAAGAAAGCAAATTGGCTGTAGCAAATCCAGTGTCTGCTAATTGTCCCCATGGCTGTGATGTGCATAGGCCATACAGCCCAGTAGGAGGACAGCCAATCTCCATGCTTTCTCCTTCTCAGAAGCTTGCCTGAATTTGTTTTTCTTTGTTTTGCTCCAAAACAAGGCAGTAACTGGTTTGAAGGGGGGAAAAGATTTTATTTAGCTATTGCATTTCCACAAAGAAACATTGCCTTGCATTGATTACTAACCCTTCTTTCTGTGTGTGTTTCTCCCCTCCCCAGACCAGAGGGTGGCATCCTTCTGCACCCTGACAGATATGCAGCATGGGCAGGACCTGGAAGGGGCCCAAGAGCTGCCCTTATGTGTAGATCCAGGCAGTGGCAAAGAGTTCATGGACACAACTGGGTATGTGAGCCCCTGTGGACCCCTCCCTCCTGCTGTTCCAGGCATGATTAGCCAAGATTCGGCTAACCGACTAACCCTGAGCCAGGCGGGCGACCATATTGCACCATGCCCTTTCCCAGTCCTGAAGAATCCAGAGAAGGGACTGAGTGGGACTACTTGGCTCCCTGCCCTGCTGTGGGAGACCGCTCTTGGCTGCATGACCCCTCTGCTCCATGGGCACACCCTGCCTGCCAAGACTTGTGACCCTGTGCCCATGGTGACGAGCCTCACTGTCAAAGAGGGCAAGAAGAGGCCTCAAGGTCAGCGTCTGCTGCTGAATTACTGCAACAGCACCATGCAGGGATAACTCGCCGATTGGCCTTCCACCTGCCAGGCTGCACATGCTCACCAGCCCAGGGCATGGCCCCTCCCAGAACCTGGTCCTTGATCCAGCCTCATGCCCTCCACTGAAATATGTTGGGAACACCCCACTCTTTCCCCTATATTCATGACATGTTCATTCCCCGTGAAATGTGTATTCTTTACCTCTGTCATCCATTCTTAATTCCAACTTCTATGTGAGCTGAATATAGAACTTGGAATTAACTTCATTAACTTGCATGTTCACATTGGTAACGAGCTTCATAATATTGTTATCATAGGGAAAGGCAAATTGGGGAAATTGACTGGTTCCCAGGACTTCATTTGGGTCTTCCTTGTCTCCATTGGATAAACCAACTTAAATAATATATCTTTTGTTTTCCTACCAACTCGTATATCTATAGAGTTTCTGCATCTCTTTTTAAATCAGTAAAGTCCCAGAATGGGCTTTCCACTAGATCAGCAATATGGACACTTTCCCATTCTGACATAATATAATATATCTGCTTGCTGGGCTCTAAGCACATGAAATAATTTTTTCGAGTGAAAACTTGACCAACAAAAATGCTCGATTGACTCTCTTGAATCTTTCTAATTCTATCCTTATTTGCTAGGGAGCGTTCTCCATCACCACTGACCGGGAAAGTCAATCAGCTGGAATTAATTCTTCGACAACTCCAGACCGACCTTCGGAAGGTAATCAATTGGAAGAGCATAATCAGAACTGTTTCTCTTATAAAATCAGCCCCTTATAACTACTACAGATAAATTGAAAAGACTCAGGAAAGAAAACTGCCTTACACAAAAACCAATGATAAATACCAACAGATGCTCCTGAGGTCTCACTCCATCTGCTGACCTGCAGCTGATGTATTTCATTTTGTGGGATGCAGGGATCTCAATGGATATGAGTAAATGAGGATGAGCCCTTGGTGTGGCAAATCTTCAGTGTGTAGTAGAAGCATGGTGGGCCAGCATTTTTTAGTTCAGTGAGTTATCAGTTGCGCCAACTCTGTATGAGATGACCTCAGAGGAGTCCATTGCTGCCAGAAAGCCTGGTCTCTATGAGTCCTGTCCTCTGTCTTGAATCAGCTTCACAGCCCTTAGAACTTCTGCTGTACACATCAACCTGCACATGGTCTGTCCTCAAAAGAAATTAAATTCTGTATCCCACAAATACTTGGCTGAGCTCTGTTCCATCAGCCCTGTGCTGGAGAGCCAGTTGGCTGTCCAGGGAAACGGAATGGGGTGCGGTAGCAAGCGGGAGGGCATCACAGGAAGGTTTTTGTTGTGATGGTTTGGTTTGGTTTGGCTTATGAAGAAGGGAGAAATTGTAGCTGGTGAGAATGCTGAGGAAAGGATTCAGTTGGGAGGGAAATTATGATGAGGGTGAAGAGCAAGTGGGTGGAGTTCTGATCTAGTCACAAGGAGGGAGCTGGCCTTGGATAGGAGTAGGGACAGCTCATACATAGTTACCAGAGTGGAGCAGAGTATGTGTGCACATGTGTGTGTTCATATATGCACATGTTCATTCACATACACAGGGTCCAGACAGAGATGTTGGCAAATTTCTCTGATTGTTTCTTTTCTTTCTAGTCATGAGCTAAGAGTGGTGGGAGTATAAGAGTTTTGTGGATAGCGGATATGGGTGCACCACAGCGTGTAAACCAACCGGGTTTAGGAGACTTGCCCAAAAAAAGCTAAAGCACGTTTGAATTTGGAGCATAAATTAAAGCGATACCTGTTTTCCTGGTCGTGTGTTTTTTCCCCAGCTTGGGTGACCAGCTGTCCCAGTTTGCCCGGGATGGAGAAGTTTTCTAGGATGTGGAAGTTTCCATATTAGAACCGGCAAAGTCCCATGCAAGCTGGGATGGCTGGTCACCCTATCTCCAGCTGCAAGTGTAGAACCGTTGGAGAGTTGAATTTAGCCAATATTAAAGTTTAGACGGGAAATCAAGACGAGAGAGAGAGAGAGAGACAAGGACCCTGGGGCGTGTACAGGGCATGAATAAACCAAAGAACCTGGAGTCCAGGCTGGTTGAAGAGAAATAATGTCACTGCTGGGGAATGGCTGGGTTGGAGGTGTTGGTGGACAGTGAAAATAAGAGTAAGATTGATAAGATTGATGGAGTCTATCATTACTGGAGGAGTGGATACTGGAGAAATTATTTTTAAAAGACTGGAGGTGGTGGTCAAGAAGTAGGAACTTGAAACTTTTAGGAAGAGGTGCAGTCATTGACAATAGCATGGTATAGGATGTGGTCATGGGAGTGGGGGTTGAGGAGGGTGGGGTTTGAAGATCACTGAGAGAAAGCGATGGAGAGGCTGAACGGCCAGAGTGTCAGATGGAATATCTCAGTGGATTCGAAATCATCAACACAGATGACAGGAGTGGGATGGGGAGAAAAGAGCAAACCAGGTTCTAGAATCTTCCCGTAATGATGGTTGGAACTGGGGATACAGTAGATAATTGCAGCCAGGAGGGGTAGCAGGTCTCATGACCTAATGGCACGTTTTTTAGAGGAGCTGGAATTGTAGGAAGTAGTGGAGATCTGGCCTGAACAATAGAGGATGCACTGTCTGCCTGCCCGACCCCCATAGTGAGCTGCTGGGGACGGTCTCCTCGGGAGGGAGCCAGGATTCACTTAGAGCACGAAGACGAAAGGAATTTCAGGAGAGACTGAGCGTGCACAAGGTCTTCTTGGCAGAATCCAAGTTCATGGATCACAATAAAAGGTTTGCAGGGATGTGGAGAGGTGGGCAGCCGAGTCGCAGCAGAGATGTGCTGAGCTGTGGGACTCAGACTGTCTTGGGACTGAGAGTCGTGGTGAGGAATGTCCGGGGAGAGTCAGTATCCAGGGTGGGCTGCAGCTGCTTCTTAGAGTGAAGTGAGTCTATCCAGGGTGGGCTGCAGTTGCTCCTTACAGCAAAGTGAGTGGTCAGCTCTGATTCAGGCCTCCTCTGAGGACCAGTGTCTTTTGGGCCAGTGACCAGGCAGGTGGTATTGAGGAGGGCCTTGGAAGGGCTCAGGAAACGAGGAAGCCTTGAGGGCAGGACCAGATATGCCAAGGGTGGGGGCGTCCACTCACCTCACTCAATGCTCCTGCACAGTGCTGGGGGTGGCATGTGGTGGCTGTAGTGGTTGAGTTAGATCCCGTTACAGAAATACCGATTATTACAATCTGACAGTGACCCCTCTATTCATTTAGGGCAAGGCATCCCTTTCAGCAGGGGGGGAACTGAAACTGCTGCTATACATTTTTTTATTGCTACATGTTGGAAACTCCAGATGTGATTCTTCTGAAAGTCTTGATTATTTTTACACAGTTTTTAATAGCAGATTTTAAGGGTCATTATGGAAATATAGTATAGCAGGAAAGCTTGATGGAATGAAAGACCTAAGTACATATTTTATTATAAACATATGTAACAGCTCTGCTAATTCCAATTTTCTACTTAGAAAGTTTTGTGCATTTGTCAAAAGGGTATTACCTTTAACCTCCCTGTAGTCTCCCTTTTTTGGATAGAGGGTAATATAAACTATGATGAACACCCTTCCTATATAAAGGCTATCTTAGCACCCCATGGGAGCAGAGTGGGATGAAAGAACAGGGTGTGTGGAGTGTTCATTCCCATCCCTTTGTCATCAGCAGGAATCAGGATCAGAAAAGTCCCCTCACTAAAGAAAGTCACCCCTTCTCCCCTCAAAAAGTACATAAGTAAAAATAAGAATCAAAGATTCTCGTAGCCCAGCTTAGGAGGAATGAATGTATCGATCAGTCTCCATGACTCAGTTTATTTCTGCTCTGACCAGGAAAAACAAGACAAGGCCGTTCTCCAAGCAGAAGTGCAGCACCTGAGACAGGACAACATGAGACTGCAGGAGGAGTCCCAGACCGCGACAGCTCAGCTGCGGAAATTCACAGAATGGTTTTTCACCACCATCGACAAAAAATCTTAGCCAATCCGCACCTCATCAAGGGACCACTGGGAAATGCCCCTTGTCCCTTTGAAGTCACAAACATGTGGTTTTTCTGTGTGCTTTCAACCAATCGTAGATGTTTTTGCTGTTCCATTCTGTGTAGCACCATTCACCACAGCAGGATAGGGAGCCTCGACTCTTTCTCGGTAACCACGGCAGAGAGCAGCGCCGATGTGAAGATGAATGAATGTAACTCCTGGTGTGAAGATGAATGTAAACCCTGGCGACAGTTGAGACCTTTTTCTTTTAGACTCTGCTAAAACAGTGCTCTGGCTTGGGCTTACCTCAAGAGGGAAGATAGTTGAGTTTTATTTCCTGTATATCAGGTGACCTGGTAGAGATGTAAAGCAATTTACCATAGTTTGGGCTTTAGTATTGTAAAATAAACATGAGAACAAATAATCAGACATATACTTTAATGTTAAAGGTGCTCTATTTTTTTGGATGTACAGTAGTTTTATTTCCACAGCCACATTACCATAGCAATAAGAAAGGAGGCATAGTACATAGTTGGAAAAGCTTTGTGGGGGGATTAAAAAAAAAAAAAAGCACTGTTGTGTTTAACACTAGTTCAGATGCAGTTACCTTAGAGACTTATTTATTTGCAGGAACAAATGGTGCCTGAATATTAACAGTGTTCTGATTAAAAACAAAAAAAAGATACATATGCCTTGTAAATGGCTCACCGAGTGGTCAGTAGTCACTTCAACTCTTAGTTCACTTTTGTATAGTTGCTCTGCTGGAAAGAAATGAGAGTGAATCTGCTTACTCACTAGAACTTCCCTGTGTGCTGTGAGCCAGCGGAACCACTTGTACAATGCCAGATTTGTTTATCTTTGTACAGAAGCTTTGATGAAGTGTCTTGTATTTAACACCCTTATTTAAGCTTATTTAACCTTAAATTGTTAATTTTATAAAATTTGGTTTGGCCTGCACTACGATGAGGGATGGAGGTAGCTGCAGGCTCAGAAGAGACTGAGCTTGCACAGATCAGACCGAGAAGCAGGGTGAGAGATTCTAACGACTGGATGCTGCTAGTAACACATTGTTTGTATTGCTTTACCATTTTTAACTGTTAGATTTGAGATGAACATACATTTTGCTTTTTTAATAAATGTTTAAAAGAAGTCCACATAAGAAATGGTGTTGTCAGGTGACTAGATTTTTTGTGATCTAACATGTCAACAGTCTGACTGTATGTGAATTTATTTCAGGTCATTTAGAACCTTGATTTGTATTAAATACTGTTCAGCTCCTTTCTCATAGAATCCCAGATCGATTTCAGGAAGGAGTACCTAGCAGTTTTTAATAGCTGCTGTGTGGCGGACACTATTCTCTGAACTTTTCATCCATCTCATTTAACCCCAATGGTATCTATCCTTCATAGGTAGGAGGTGGGGTTCCCATTTACAACCACATGAACTGTGGGTCAAGTGAAGTAATTTACGCAAGACTGCCTTTAAAAAAATAAAATAAAATAACACTTTGGTGTTGCCAGCACTTTGAGAGGCCAAGGCGGGTGGATCACCTGAGGTTAGGAGTTCAAGACCAGCCTGACCAACATGGAGAAACCCTGTCTCTACTAAAAGTACAAAATTAGCCGGGCATGGTGGCACATGCCTGTAATCCCAGCTACTCGGGAGGCTGAGGCAGGAGAATCCCTTGAACCCGAGAAGCAGAGGTTGCGATGAGCCAAGATAGCGCCATTGCACTCCAGCCTGGGCAGCAAGAGCGAAACTCCATCTCAAAAAACAAACAAAAACAGTAAGAGTTTGAAAAATTATCAGGAAGAGGTAAACTGTAAATTTGAATCCAATGTAAGAAGACACAAAACATAGATCCAGGTGTGAAGGGAAACACTGTAAGGTCCATTCCTCTCAACCTTTGAAGAACAGAAAGCATATCAAGAATTCAGAGGAAGCAAACTGACTCTTAGAATTGGCCCCAAAAGGAATTTTCCATATGGGCTTCACATGAGAGGCATATTGAACAATTAACATTCTCACAGTGGATGTAGCAGTAGGCTTCCTAAAGCTGTTTCATGCAGCTGCCCTCTATGAAATGCACAGGTGCACATCCAAAATTTGCAGCCAGGGACTGGAGATTTTCAGGGAATAAGGACCTTATGGGCCACATAGATACTGTCCTTCCTCCCTCCTTCCCTTTTTTTTCTTTCCCATCAGTGTGAACCAGGCAGCATGCTAGGAGCTGAAAATCCAACAGTGATCAACCGGTCAGGGCCCCTGTGTGCACAGGCATACAATCTAATATGGGGAGACAGACATAAGATCACTTCAAAACATGAAAGACAGAAATAAAAGTACCTGCAACAGGCTACCTTAAGTAATTATTATAAACACTGATACTGTTTGAATAGCTCCTGGGTGCCAGGTCCTGTTGAGCTTTGTGTTACCTACCTAGCAGCCATGTGAGGTAGGTGCCATCATCACTCCCCTTTTTAAAGATGAGGAATCAGGACCTAGATAGGGTGGTCCATGGGTAGACGAGGGCACATGAGGTTCAAAGTCCCTAAGGTTAGTGTATTCAAGAAGTCTAGCAGAAGCCAGGACGTAACGGAGGGTAGAGTGGAGGGAGATGTGCTTGAAGAGATCAGCAAAAGCCACACCATGAAGGAACTGGAGGCCATGCTAGACTTTGGATTTTGTTCCAAGTCAAAAAGAAGCCATTGAAGCAGGAAAGATGCCTGATGAGAGCTCTATTTTAAATGGATTATTCTGACTTCTAAAGCAGAATGGACCATGTAGGTCTTCAAACTTTCTGTGTGGGGCTTTTTCTGCAAACGAACGATTTGAGGC
This sequence comes from Homo sapiens, assembly GCF_000001405.40. Lineage (NCBI taxonomy): Eukaryota > Metazoa > Chordata > Mammalia > Primates > Hominidae > Homo > Homo sapiens. Next base: position 232,396,289 of record NC_000001.11, on the reverse strand, counting down.
CTTGGGAGTCACTGACTGCCTCTGTTGCATATTTTCAAATTTCTATT